>NC_000016.10:53653409-53956439 GCF_000001405.40 Homo sapiens | reverse complement strand
TCATCACTTAGTAGCTGCCACTACCTGCTCGATTTGGAGAATTTTCTCCCAAAGACAGGCTTCATAATAGACCATCCACTCCCCAGAGCACTCTTTCCTCCCCACAGCCCTAAAAACAAGCACACAGATCCTCTTGGTTCTGACATTTAGCATATCAACGGCAAAACAGAGAAAGAGACAGGGAGAGAAATATCACAGGGATGCTCAAAGCCCGTCATATTTTTAGTTAGTGGTCAGTGATTTTTAGGTTCTCAGATGTTAAATGGTTTGAGCTGAAGTTTTGTCAATAGTTATCTTTAACTTTCTCTGAATTCAGTTTCATCATCTATAACATGGGGATGAAACCACTCACCTTTGTATGATTACTACAAGGAAAAAAATTAAAGATACACACAAACCATCAACACATAGGAGGTGCAAAATAGATTTTTTTTTCAATTTTTATTTAAAAATTTTTTTGTAGAGATGGGATCTGGCTATGTTGCCCAGACCGGTCTTGAACTCCTGGCTTCAAGCAATCCTCCCACCTTGGCCTTCCAAAGCCCTGGGATTACAATCATGAGCCATCACGCCCAGCCTCAATAGTTTTGAGCTCCAATTTTGATGCCCTCTTTCTCTCCATAAAGACTTCCCCAATTCACACTGACTACTTATTTCAAAGAGCTCATGATGTACTTATGGTCAATGTTATTTAACTTGGCATTTATCTCACAATCAATTATGTCTCTTTCCCAACAACTAAACTATAACCTTGATTAGAGGAACTGTGTTTTCCACAGCACCTAACACAGCACTGGCCACACAGTGGAAACTTTCCGTATACTTTGTAAATAGAATTTGGATTTATGTTTCATCTGTCAGCAAACTCCATGATGAAGTCTTTACTCCAACCCTAAAATGTGACCCCTCCTTCCTCTCTCATCCCATCTCACTTACTTCTCCCTCTGTCATATTGACTGGTTCCTTCTCTTCCCCCTCATCTCAGCTTAAATGAGGCTTCCCTAAAAAGTTCCATTCCCCTCCCCAATTGCCTACCTGTTGCCTTTCTCCATAGTGCATGTCATTATCTGACATCCTCTTTTTTACTTGCTTGCTTATTTTTAGTCAGCCTCCTGCCACTAGACTGTAAGCTCTACCAGCACAAGAAACAGGCTGTGGTTTTTTTGTTCACTCTTGTATACCCAGTTCCAGGGACACTGTTAGGTGTTCAGTAAATATTTGTGGAATAAATGAATAGCTCTTGGTTTTTTTCTTAACCATCCATCTTCATGCAACTGGATACTCAGATACAAATTAAGGACCCATATGGTCAATGCTAGACTCCAATGGCACTAATGCTTAAAGAATGCTTTATGGGATAAAACACTCCAGAAGTGGTCAAGCACTGACAGAAACAGGAGAAACTTTCTTACTGGTCTAATTAGAGACGGTGGTAACTTGGGTGAAATTAGGTTTCTGCTCTAAAAATAGAGGTCCACCAAAGAGTTGGGAATGAATCAGGTCTTCACAAAGCAGCTCTTCTTTTGCCAGTCCCATCTCTGCTACTCTAAATCATGCCACTCACTCTTGCTTCTGCTTGGCCACGTTTTCTCAGATCCATTCAGGCTCCTTAAACATTAGCGTCCATCTCCTTTGGCCCACTAACGACGTGAGCCTTCCTAACCAATGCCCCTGCTGCACCACTTCCGGCTCAACAGCCCATGGGCTCTACTGTGAAAGCTAAAGAGGGGCCAAGGTGAAAACCCTGCCACAGCTGAAACCGTCGTCTCTTTACTCTGCCTTCTAAAGTTCTGAAGATTTCACCCTTCTCTCTACCCTGCAGCCACACCAGCACCCTTCCTGAATGCATCCCCTGTGCACCCAGAGTTCTGCACCTAAGTTTTATGTCAGCCACTTCCCTTTGACCTTCTTTTCTCTTTGACTTTACTTACCCTTCATTGATTGGTATATGTTTAATGATAGTGACATCATGAACCCAAGTTTCAGGAATAGTCAAGGTACGCCATCTGCCTTAAATGACAAGGTAACATTGTTGGTTTTATTGTAGTAAAGATTCAAAACCCTATGTACCCTCTGAGGTAGGTCTAGGGAAAAAAAAAGTTCTGCCTCCTTTTAAATGAAAGGCCCATCCACAGGTAGCCATGTTAAAAGAAGATTATTTCTTTGTTCCACAGGGAAATCAGAGAACAGAGAATTTGATTTCAACAACTCTTACTAACTCCTCATTCTCGAGATGTGCTTAAATAGATCCACCTTTCCCCTTTTCCCCTTGTCTTTTTATATTTCAAAATGGGTAGGTGAGAAAACTGAGAACCTTGTTCATATCTATCAACAATCTATGAACATCTACTCCTTGCCAAGCATTAGGGCCAACTACTGGGCACTACACTTTCTGCAGGACCCTAGCCTTCGTCATTAAGTTTGAAGCTATAAGTGAAGGTAGAAAATGCTGTTGTTTTACAGATATACATTGGGAGTAGCTTCCGAAGCGTATTTTACTAGTTCAATATGGTAAGAAGAATTCAGCCATAGCTGGCATCACCACACATTGTTTCACAAAAATGCACTGTGGAGAATGGACACTGTACCTATAATTTTAAAAGATTTGCTCATTTAAATGAACCAGCAGCATTTTCTGCCACATAATGGAGAAATTCACAGGATGCTGGGCCCCTCATGGCTTCTGTGGCTATAAAAGCCCCTTCATGCTGGATTTTTTTATATTTGGTAAATTAATAGTTTGCTGTTCCAAGATTCCTACGTGTTTATATTATTGCTTTTCTAACATAAAAGTTTGCAGTTGTTATGGAAACATATGGTAACATTTGCTGCTAAATTTTAAATGCATTTTCTACCCCTGTTACACACCTGAAATGAAGCCAAAAACTCTTTTTGCTTTACATTAGAGTGAAATTCAAACTGGTCTGGGTGACTATAAATGGTTACTGTTTGTCTTGGCTCCTACCTGTATCAGATTTAGACTGAGGAATCTTAGGGAAGAAATTACACGGGATAAAATGGATATTTCTAAATTACAAGGCCTACAATTCCAGTGGCTCCAAATATCAGCTTTCTGTTTCATCTCAGCCTGCCAGAAAGAAAATGGTGGGGCCAGACAATAAAAGATAGACAACGTTTACTTTCCAGAGCCAAATGCTTCTTGTTTTGATTATACTGGAGAAGGAGGTTGCAGATCCTGATCAGTTAAGTCTTGTTAGCAAATTAAATGGTTGTAGACTACAATGGTGTAAGACATGAGTTTTAGCCCCTGGCTTCAAGTCGAAATGACAAAAGTATACATTCTTTCAACCCATTTTGTTCTGCAGTTTTCCTCTTTGAGCCCTTCACAATTCTCAAGTAATTGTTCATGATGACTCTAGGCCCGTGGGGAGGGTGACTTGGAAACGTTCATTGGACGGGTTTTCTAAGTTTCCCAATTATCCATTTCTCCATACCTTAACACCTCACCCAAGTCAAGTTTCCTTGTGCAATGTAACTAGTCATAAATACCGCTCAAAAAAAGTAGGCACTTTGGCTCAGAAAAATATCAAATGAGAAAGACAGTATGAGAATTCTCACCTGCTTGAGCATTTTTCTGGAACTTTAAATCAAGGTTAATCGAGAGTCACAGAAGAACTTCAAACATGTGCATTAGGTCTAGCTCTGGGACCTGGCAGATCCAATTCCCACCCACATCTCAGTCTTGTGGGCTGTATTCTTCCACCCATTTCAGCACATTTGTTGACAGTCAAGGTTAATTTTCATAGGTTAACTCTGTCTCTTCTGCCTTGGAATATAACCATGCTCTTTGCTAGAGAGTTTCACTTTCAGTTTCCCACAAGATTAGATACTGCTTGCATATATTTAAAGTGACTGGGGAAAAGAATTATGATACTTTTCTAAGTACGAAAATATGGGAAGTTGCCAAAGATTTTTTTTGCTCCACTGACCCTTGTCATCTGCTCTAGTACACATCCAGGATGCTACATAAGGAAGCCAAAGGCTCAGCAGGGTCCAGTCAGCTGCACAGGTTAGAGCCCTTCAGAAAACATGGATAATCATGGCATTATCATATGCTATGTTGCATGTTTCCATGTTGCTTCTCCACCTTTCTTCTTTAGAGAACAGAGAGAGAATAATATTTCTTAATCTATCACAAAAGGAAGTAGATTAAGAAGAAGACACCAGAAGCTGACTGCCTGGGCTCAAATCCTGGCTTGACCACTGACAACCTGTGCTATCCTGAGTAAATTCCCTAACCTCTCTGGGTCTTAGTCACCTTAACTATAAAATGAAAGAAAACAAAACAAAACTACTTCACTGGGTTGGTGTGAGGAGTAAGTAAGGAATATGGGCAAAACACGTAGAATAGTACCTGGCATACAGTAAAGACTCAGTGGAGGTTAGCTGCTATTATTATGATGATGATGATGATCAGCATCTTCTTCATAATCAATAGCATAATTATGATTGAAACATATGTTTCTGCACCCCTCCAGTTTATAAGGCCAGCATTTTATAAACTTTGATGATGTGATCCACTATCATGATTTTAGCCATATCCATGAACCACCCACATTATTGCATTTCTAGCATTTTTCTTTAAATCAACTTAAAAAAAAAAACAAGATTGATTTGAGTCTTGTCCTCAATAATATTAGTTGAAAACCATGGATCCAATATTCTAATTATGCTTTTCTAACCTAACGTAAAATATATTCAGTTAGACAGGAGGAATCAGTTTTTGAGATATATTGCATAGCAGTGTAACACAGTTAATAATAATAGAGTGCATGATTTCAAAATTGCTGAGAGTGAATTTCAAATGTCTCCCTATATACACAAAAAGCAAAGCATATAAATTTTCAAATAAAAAGTATTCATCAGTGTCTCACAGAATCATCTTGTGTGCCACGCACAGCGCACTACTTCAGGACTCTCTGAACTAGGCCTTGGCACATTTCACTAGAGTCTCCCTAGGCACAAACTCAAAGTCACTGTAGATTAGACAGAAACCCACCACCAAAATTATCCACATGGACAATACACAGCCTTGTTAAGGGACTGAACATGGATGACTGTCACTAAGCTTACTTGGCTTAGTACACATTCAGGTCTGAATCCTATCTCAGCACTAAAAAACTGAAAGCAGTTCCCTGTTATTAGCCTAAGTTCCTAGTAATGTGAGCATTGTGTTGGGGGGTAGCTTGGAGACGGGGTGAGGTCCTTGTGAAAGAAAAAAAGTGATGCTCTATTCAAAGGTCTTATCCAATCTCTGCAGACTGGTTTAAATGTATTTTGACCCTGTGCTAACCCATTTTCATGTGATACATTTGGTATAAGAAAAGATTAATTACTTACGAAAAACAAGCTAACAACTTTACAGCAAATATATTATCACTATATAGAACGGGACATAAAGGTTTCCACTAGCATCATTAGCTTCGTTATAATAAATGAGATGCTTTATGTGATGTATAATACGGTAAAGCCAACACAGCTGTTTGCTTCTGTAGGAAAGAGCCTAGGTGCACCGCACCTGAGTCTGCAAACACTTAATAAGCCCTCAACAACAAAGCTGCCTCACTGAGAACTCTGGTGGCTGAAGCCATTATCCACGGATAATTAACTATGTCAGGACACTGAGGTCCTAACATGAGGTCCTCATAATTCCCCACTATGGGAAAGACAGTAAAACATTATTATATTACTAATATTTAGTAAGAAGACTGTTCTATTTGTGTGTTATTAATGCAAGCTGTAAGTTACCGCATCATTTGAATTACTATTAGTTCTTCTGGGCACTCTCTCACATGAAGGGCAAAGCAGCCCTTTGCGCTTAAGAACAGGAAAGAAATACTTCCACGTGGATTAAAATTTTTTAAATGTATTTGTAATTTGTTCTGTTTATTTTTCCTCTGGCTGCATGAATATATCTACGACATTTATCACTGGAAAAAATATCACTAAAATGACCAATACTAAGGAAGCTCAAAGCTATACAATTGTAAAACATTTCTCGTATACTCATTTGATCTTTAGAAGAATCCATCATTTTGCTTTCTCCAAGTATCCTGGTCATTTTGAGACTCTCCCCTATAATACAAAGTATTTAAATTTCTCAGTAACGAGGCTTTTTGACGCTTGAAGACAAAAGCTCCAGTCCATTTATTAAGACGACTTCCTACTGTGTGGGGCTGTTTTTTTACCTCATAATTAAAATAGCACCTGAACAGGACCATCTGTGAGCATGGATTAAGTTTTTTTTTTTTTTTTTTTTTTTTACAAATGTGAATATCTTTTTTTTTCCTGCCAAATGCCTCTAAACCTCATATAGATTTTGTGTTACACACCAAAAAAAAAAAAATGTTTAAATAAACCTTTACTTTCCCCCCCCAAAAAAAGAAAATGAAAGTAGTTAGGGTAAACATTTTGCTCTTCACTGCAACCCTTCATGCATCAGTAAATAAACGTACAGCTATGTAATTTGTTTAAAGAACGAATGAACTGTCAGTCTTTGCTTTCTGTTTCTGGATTCTGTTCGTTTATGGCAACCCAGAGACACAGTTTGCCACTTAATTTTCCTCTTCCTTTTTCAAATACACACATTTTGGAAAAGACATTATTTATCCAAAAGGCTGCCAAGGCATTGGGTTAGGATGGATCTGGATATACAGACTATTTCACAAGCTAGTCTTATTTAACCAAAATAAAGTCTCACTGGGTTTTTTTTTTTTTTTTTGCACAAACTGCAAATCCATAAATGCAGAGATTATAAACATTGATACCGAAATTTCTTCCAGAGGATTTTCTGACCTTATGTTAACTCTGCCATAGACATTCGTGTTTCTTTGGAAATGTTGGCTTATTTTAATGAAATGGTTCCTTTGGTACAGTTGGGGCTGTGATGTCAACCTGGCTCCATTCTAAGAACCCTTATGAAATATTTACAGTGAAATTTAACTACACATGCGTAACAGCTGACTTCGGTGGCCGCCAAGGTTTAGGCTTACCTTTTTATCTTTCTTAAAGGAAAAAATATTTTTACATTTTCCTCTTCTCCAGAAGCTCAAACCCTCTTGTATTTAACAACTTCCCAACTCACACCTCTATGTGACCATCAGTGTGGAGTGGTGAGACTAAAAGATGATTCTGGCCACATGACATCTTTGTTCAAGCTTCACTTCTACAGTGAAAGAACAGCTGGGTTCCCCCATGGAGGAGATGGGAGCTAAAGCAGGAGCTCAAGGGTGTAACAGGAGAAATGGTGATTCACTAGCAATAAGTCCCAGTCCTTCCTTTCTGAGAATTAAACCCTTTATCAAATTCAAAACTGCCAACATTTTTGTGGACACCTTTTTATGGTGACAATGAGCACCATATACACCTCATTCACTTTTGGAAACTCTCATATACTTTGTTTATAAAAGGAAAGATGAAATAGTGCCAAGTTCAAGGCAACACACACGTACACACATACACACTCACGCGCAAGAACCTACATGGAATAATGCAATGTTACAAGGTCACAAGGTCACAGAGGCAATACACAGATTGTGTACTGGTCTCCCAGCCAGGGTCATTCCTTCTATTCTTGAGAAGTGTGAGAAGATGGAGAAGGTTTTTAATTCAAAGCAGTCAGGACTTTCATTCTATAGCAGAATCCTGCCCACAATGTCCAGGCTCCACACATGTTTTGATTAGCCTAACAGTTACAAATATTTGAATTCATGCTAACATTTAAATCACTGTGAGACTTCGGAAGCATACACATACAATATGAATGTTCCACTTCTGTTGAAAATGTGGAAGACCTACTAACATAGATCCTGCCTCCTCGCAAGGCTGGATAGCAGCTGCCTGGCTGCCCACTTGAGACAAAGTGTGAATGTCCGCTGGCCAGGAGACCAGAAGACAATCTGGGTATTGCCTCTGTGACCTTGTAACATTGTTCTACTCTATGCAGATTCTGGCATACACACACACGTGTGTTTTGCCTTGAACTTAACAGTGTCTCACCTCTCTGGCTTTATCTACATACATGATTACCATGGCCTACAGACATCTGAATCTGCAATCCCTGGTCTGAGTTCACTAGCATTCACTAGAAAACTCACAAATATCCAACTCTCATGCCCCCATCATCAAAAGCTCAGACGAATACTTCCTTCAGAAAGCCCGGTGCCTCTTTGGACATGAATTCACTATTCCATGTGTCCTTCAAATCCCTCCAAACCAGGTCTCTTATACAGCCGCAGTGTAATGATCTGAGGCACTCTTCGTACAAAAACTAGTAGATGTGTGAATGCAATAAAAGTGCTCAGAAACACACAAGGAGAAATCACCAGCTAAGGGAATGGCTCTCTTACTTTACAATGGCGAGTTCTCAACCTGCCACCGAAACCACCACTGTTTGTGTACGCGTCACTCAAACTCAGACTTTGATTTATACATGCAGGCGTACTTTCTTAACACACCCTCTCTGACTTTTCTGCCATAGCCCGTTTCCAATGCCACTAGAAGATGCTGTGCTTAATACAGCTTCCCAATTCTCCAAGGCCCCCTCAAAGCTTTTAAAGCTAGCATAACATGCAGAATTTCAAATGAAGTACCAACAGCAGAAAGATCATTTACAGTAACTATACAAACAAGCTAAATGAAAGACTTGTGTTCAGTCATTAAAAATAATAATGCTAAAGCCCCGAGGGCTGAAATGTAAAGCTTAGACTTCGTGTGAGGAAATAGAAAAGGAGTGTGTTTATTATCCCAATAAGATAACCTGTTAATTTATTTAGTAGGCAATTTTCGAGTACATTCGTCCACAGTGAAATCTCGCTTTATCAGATTATATGAAAAATCACCACCACAAATAAAATGCTCGTTCAAGCCAGGGGCTTTTGCAAGATAGAAATTACCAAGTAGGAGACCAGTAAGGGGTGGCTGGGAAGTGCTGCCACTAATAGCTTCCGCCCCCTTATTCTCCTCCTCTCCTGAACCAAGCCCAGAGTTAGTTATAGAGTTATCTATCTCACACTTTGCAGATGATGCCTAACATCATGACAACAGAGAAGAGGAAAGGTCTCTGGACCTGCCTACCTACAACAAGTTTCTGTAAAGTAATGAATACAGACAGCTTGGGGACCATCCACCTGCGCTGCCTGCCTCTTCCTGCCTGCAAAGTGAAACCACCAGGGATTGGCAGAAGGTACTTGTCTGACAGGGCCAGGACAGCCTTTCTCCTCAGTGACAGCCTGGGCCTACCCTCTTAAACTTGACCCACCATAATTCCTTCACAGTGCAGCAGCAAGGCAGCTGACAGTAGCAGCTGCAGCTCCTAAGCGAGATGGATGGAATTTTCATAACTAGTTCCCCAAGTTACATTTTACCTTCAAGATAATTTATGAGCTGCTCTGGAGCCTTGAAGAGACAATATGCTTGCCATAAAATTAACTGTAACAGTCTTGTAGGTTATAATTAACACTGGGAGGGTAGCACCAACTGGATGAAACACATGGCGTAATTGATGGTGAAACTGGAAATGAAGCAAGCTAACAATATCATTACTGTGCAGGCTGCCTTAGCAAAACCTATGCTTTCCGAGGGTTCATTGCAGTTGCCTCCCAGGCCCGTATTCTGGTAGGAAAGAGGCCAGAGCTGGGCAGAGGGGTGGAGGTTTTGCTGGCCAGGCCATGGGGTACCTGGACAGATACAATGGCTGTCAACAGTCTGGAAAGAGAGCCGTAGCACAGCATCTGGTCATATGCTTCCTGGAGTTCAGACCAGGCCCTACATAAGCCTTCCTTGTAGATATGACTTCATTTTTTCAGTAAACAGCAACTTTTTCAGTGAAAAAAAATATAAGAATAAAAAGAAGACAATAGGAACTTCCAAAACGCCCTTCCAAGGATTGGGACATTTATTTAGCATACATTCTGGAAGCAAAACAACTTAATATGAGCATATCTTAATAAAAAATGAAGATGGTTAACTAAACCTAAAGGTTTATTAAACTAAAAAGTAACGTCCTGAGCACCCTATCCAAAGTTGACTATGGAGAGAAAGGTAATCAGAAGAGTCCCATCAAACACTCCTGTCTCAGAAAGAACCACTAACCTATTTCTTTCACGCATGGATACTGAACAGTCTGACCAATACCTGAGAAGTCCTGAACATTCTAAACACATTGGAACGATTCAAATAATTCTAATAAGCATTTTCAAGGTGATTCAACTATTTTTTTTTGTTTTCTGATTTGTTTGGTTTTGTTTTTTTTGTCCTGGGACAATAGACTGGAAAATTCTAATAAATGATGCAACAGTGTCCCCTACAGGCCAGTAGAGCTGTTCCTTCCCCTTCCCCCATCCTCCTCCACCATGACTTCCTCAACTGAAAGCCAGAGTTAAACTTTTATCTATAACATTACAGAGTAAATTTGTAAAATACACTGGGGATACCCCTGAGATAGAATAAAATTACTACTCTTCATGTGTGGTAAATTGTTTCCTAGATATAAACAAACTGTACAGCTGGTGATTAACCCATTATGGAGTAGATAAATTGCTACCCTTTCACCTTAAGGGCACCCACTGAAATCAGCCTTGACTAACGCAGCCCCAAAATTACTTGACTTAGAGGATTTACAGAGATTTACAGATTCTTGGAGGCTAAACTTTGGTGTTCTAATTTTCACCCCTACTCTCCCACCTTCTAAAAGACTGTAACCAATATAAAAGAAATGACAGAGCATATAAAGGTGATAACTTTCCTTTAAAAGATCCATGGCAGGGAGATTGATAATGCATTAGCTGGATACTATTTCCTTATAGAGATGCACCCACAACTAAAAAGTGTAAAACATGTTAGGTACCAGAGGAAATAAATATGTAAAGATACATACCTGCCTATCTCCACACTGAGAAGGATCCTAGAAGGTCTCTAAAATACTAAGTGAATCGTATCAGTGGTTGATTAAAAACTAAAGCTTTGTTATTGCTCTTGGCCAACCTGGGCCGTCTTGGCTTAAATTCCATCTTCACTACTTACTAGCTGTTGCCTTGGGCAAGTTACTCTGCACCTCTGTGCCTCGGTTTTCTCATCATATAAAACATTTAAAACTCTGTCTGGAACACAGTGACTTCTCAATAAATGTCAGCTGCTATTGTTGTTAAAATTAGTACAATTGCAGACTTCAGGGAAAGTGGAAGTAGAGGAGTGAAACCCATCAGGAGTAACATCCACTTTTCCCTGCTCCCGGGGATCTCACGTATGGAGCCACTCCTTGTGAGAGCTGGAAGATGCCTCCCACTTTTGGGGCGATCGAGATCAAGTCGCTTCTTTCTTACATAAAGTTGCTAAGGCGTAGAGTGTCTGTGACATGCCCAGAGTCCTATAGTCACTAATGATGGGATTCAAACTGGAGTCCAGCCCTCCACCTGTCAATTCTGTGTGACACTGCTGAGCACAGAGCACCAACTCTGTCTAGTGTTCTTCCCTGCACCAATTTTGCAATATCAGGCCCCTACCAGGAGGCTAGGATATTTACTTCATGAGGCATTCTCTCAAAGGAGAGGCCAATTTGGATAAGGGTGGCTGGGTTTATTCCTGGCTTTATTGTTTTGATCTGAAGATCATGATAGGTCATTTTTATTGAACACCTAATACGTTACAGGTACTTGCTCTGGGTGTTTTACATTTAATCACTTAATCAACCCTATGAAATGGGTTCTATTATTATCATCCCCTAGGCAAATAACAAACGAGAAAATTGAGGCTCAGAGGGGTTAAGTAACTCATCTAGTTACAATCCACAATTGTAACTTGCCTGGAGTTATAGAAGTGGATCCAAGATTCAAACCCAGGCAATCTGATTCAGAATCTATGCCCCCAAACATATTAATTAAATTTACTCTGAAAGAAAACCATTTTTCCTCCACAAACTTTATACAATGGAAAGAAGGTAGCACAACTTTTATACAATGACCTATCCTCACGTATAAATTTCTCTCCTATTTCTCACTCATGCTTTGAGACAAATAGCTACCTATCTACTGGTAGCCAACACAATTGGGGAATGGAGCAGTATTTCTCACTGTCGCTGGGCACATAATGAGAGTCTTATGAGAACACTTAAGGAGAGCCTGTCTTCTTCCCTGGGATGTGGGTTTCTATGGAATCATGACTCAATCTCTTCCATAGTATTTATGATTCTACATTGTGTAATACATTTCCCCTAATCAAATGTTACTCATCTCTACAACCTCAGGACCTAAGATAGCTCCTCATACCAGGTAGGCACTTAAGAAATATTTGCAGAACCAACGCATGACTGACAGATCACTCCCAACAACAAAACCCAGCATTTATGAAGTACTTGAGTGCATTATCACAGGTAATCCCCCAACACCTATGAGATAGGTATGGCTTTGCCCATTCTCTCTTCAGAGAGATTTGTCAATATAATGTGGCCTGAATTTAAGCCTTCCTTCAAATGAAGACCTTTAAAGTGACGCAGGTCTTGGAAAAGTAAATGGGAACCACGGTACGGATAATTGAAGGAGAATTTATGTTACGGATTCCCTAGGATGGTGTTCCTCAGAAAACTGGCATCCCACGGCTACTTCCCAAATATGACCCACTGCAACTTGAAATGTAAATTTTATAACAAGTGATTACTTTATAACAAAGCTCAGAAAAGAGAACTGTGTATCTTTATCTCAACTGAATGACTTTATTTTGGTCACTGTTGAGTGCTGGTGAATATACAGGGCATAGCAACTATATGCACATTTTATAAAAGAAATTTTCAGAGTTCCGCTTAGGAAAAGAGTTCATATCTGTCATTCCACTAGAATATAAGCTCCATGAAAGAACTGTCATCAGTTCTGTTCACTGCTGTGAACCTGGAACAGTGCTTAGAAAACAATAGACACTTAATAAATGTATGTTGGATAAATAAATGAATCAATGTTTTCTCAAAAAGTTTAAGAAGCACTGCCCCTAAGAAACAGCCAGCCAGCAACTGATCACAGTCAGAAACCTGCCAGAAACAGAGTTCATGCTAAAGCCCATGTGTTGATTTTATAAATAAGATGCACAGAAGTCAATTGGCTTTTGTCCCCCATAAAACTGTTCAAATAATGACAGTAACAATGGTAATAACATTAACAACACTTGCCTCCTTAAGATAAGTTGCTGTATCTTGGGGGAAAAAAGTAACCCTATCTCTAGACTCATTTAATCTTTGCTCTAAATTTATACAATGTTTCAATTCCTACACATTTTTGAGGAGGTTTTATGGAGTTATCAGGTTTTATGGAGTAATCTGGATCAGAAACACAAAGAACTTTCTTCTGCTAAGGGCAGCAAAAAGCAGAGACTGTAATTATTAAAAGCGAAGGGACAGATGTCTTAAAAAAGACCCGGATGGCAACTAGCAGGCCAGTGCCTCCCTGCTTCTCCCTGGAATCTCTTCCATTTATTCCTCATGCCCACCCCAACACTGCAAACAAGTTTACCTAGTAGCAACTGACAGCTACCGAACTACAGATGCCACAACTTCTAGTTTCCAACTAACCAGCTGTGCCGGAGTAAGCAGCCAGTCTCTTTAGCATGAATGATAGCAGCTGACGTGGTCCGATGACACAATCACAGGTTGTCTCAGCAGATAACTGCATCAGTCTCATTATCCCACAGCCCATCCTCAAGGTGAGGAGCTCCACTTTTTGTGAACACAGCTCCAAGTTCTAGTCCACATGCCGAATCACCAACGCTAAAGTTCATAACTGTGCTGATATCACTAAAGCAGACGAGGACATTAGCAGGTGACCAGGAAAAAACAGCTGCCTACAGACTGGAAGCCATATTAGCCTCAGCTTTGTTCCTATCCCTACTGAACTAAAACCCATCCCTTTATTCAGAGGCATGTCCCAGGGCTGTCTTTATAACTCTCTTCTTCCTCGCCATGCCAGTTCTTCCTCTTCTCACCCAGCTCCATTTCACTTCTAGGAAAGTCAACAAATTAGGAATGGTGGCTCAGGGAGGAGACCATGTCTTTTTGTCCTGGTCTTAGCCCAGTCCCATGGTGTTCTCTTCCTCAAGTACACTGGAGTCAGCCTGTGCACATGGCATCCCTCTTTGCTCATGCTGGAATAAGGGCCTGTGGTACCATGTTGGGGCTTAAACACCAGAGAACTGCATAGTAGAGATTTCTCCTTACTTCCAGTTTCAAGGCTTCCACCCCTGGCAAGGTTAGATGAATAACCAGTGCTTACTTCCAATATCAGAGATCCATCCTGACTTCGAATTTCAAGATTTCCACACCAGGCAAGGTTGAGAAAAAGAGCAAAAAAAGCAACAGGCCAATATCACAAGTGGTCATTCCTCTTCAAAATTAATAAAGCAGACAAAGTACTTATAAACACTGGAATAGATTGAGAGGAAAGGTATTTCACAAATCTGAGTGTCAGGCATTCTTCTAGATGCCAGGGATATGTGGTAAACAGGCAATGAGGTCCTTTGATAGAGGGCATTATTCAAATGGAAGAGATAGCTTAATGTTACAAAGATCTGGGGTGCAAATTTGTTCTTTTGTTTTGAAACAGGGTCTTGCTCTGTCACCCAGGCTGGAGTGTAGTGATGCAATCGGCTCACTGCAACCTCTGCCTCCTGGGCTCAAGTGCTTCCCCCTACCTCAGCCTCCCAAGTAGCTGGGACTACAGGTGTGCGCCACCGTGCCTGGCTAGTTGTTTGCACTTTTTGCAGAGATGGGGTTTTACCATGTTGCCCTGGCTGTTCTCGAACTCCTGAGCTCAAGCAATCTGCCCGCCTCAGCCTCCCAAAGAGTTGGGATTACAGGCCTGAGCCACTGCACCTGGCCTGAGGTGTATGTTTTACGGCTGGTAAACAAACAAACGTCCAATCCTCATAAAACTTTCATTCTGGTAGGAGAGATAAAAATGTAAACACAGAATCAAGTCCATATATAATTAATGTCAGGTTACTTCATTTTTTAAGCTTCTATCAAAATATAAGTTCCCTTAGGGCAGACCCCATTGCTAAATTACCTTATGGTTTCACAGTGCCTCATAGAAAAAAGAGTTAAAGGGTGTGTGCTAGCCATTGTATTCTTATTAACTACCACCTCCACATTAAAGTAAATTATTCCACAGTTGAGACTCACGTCATACTCATCTTGATATTCCCCACAGTGTCTAGCACAGTTACTTGCACCTAACAAACACTCAATAAATAATAGTTAATTGCTAAACTGGACGGTGCCGACTTGTCGGTTTTGCATATAATCCGTGACTAGCTAGGAGGCAGAAGGGGAGACAGATACCGGTGGAGAACACCTCAGTGTGCTAGTTGATCCATATAAGTAACTTATACAAAGTGTTATACTTGTTGAGCCCCGATCAAAGTTCTAAAGCTGATTAACTTGGAATAGTAAATCCTATTCATTACACATTCTAGGTTCCAACAACCAGATTTTACAGCCTTAACAAAGATGTCCAGAGTGGATCCATTCTGGGGGTAGGTGGTGATGGGATGGCTGGGGTCACAGAGAATAGAAAGATGACTAATAATAAGACCGTTGTTTTACCAGTCCAGAAAAAAATGGGAACTTAGACCAATATGAGGAAGATATTTTTACATAAAGTTATCTGGATCTTAAGAGAGTCACTTTTAAGTAGAAGCAAGTAGTTCTAAAAGCTTTTCGAAGAAACTTCCATAAACATTAGTTGAAATGAATCTCAGCACCATTTTTAAGGCTCCTTCGACCCAAATGAAGTTGTCTCCTATGGGAGTACAGTAACTCCTGTTTGAGCCTAAAAGCTAAAGAGCTATAAAGGTACCGAGTTTCCATTTAATCAGGCTACATTCCTATCCAGTGTGCAATGTTGAATGAAATGTAAGAGAATGGTAGGAGAAATAAGTAGGTAATCTCTAGAAAAAAATAAGTGGGGCCACATGCAAATAAATAAAGAGCCAGGCCTGACCATGGTAACGGGGAAACGTGCACTGCTGCAATTTAATGACAGCCCCATTTGGAACCTCACCTCTTCTACAAGCCAAATATTCTTAACAGGCTTCTGAGCTCTTTATCACCAACAAGAGGGGTAAGTCCTTAAGTCCGCCATGTTTTAAAATGTCCGATTGAAAAAGCAATAGTTTTCAAAAAGCACAGGAAAAGATGCTCGACACCATTAGTCAATAGGGAAATGCAATTCAAAACCACAATAATATACCACTAGGATATCTACAGTCCAAAAAAATGAAAATAACAGGTAACGACAAGGACATAGAAAAATGGGAAACTTTGTGCGTTCTTGGTGGGAACATAAGATGGTGTAACAGACATGAAAAACAGCCTGACAGTTCTTCAAAAAGTTAGACACAGAATTACCATATGACCCAGCAATTCCATTCCTAGGTATATACCCAAGAGAACTGAAAATATGTCACTCAAAAACTTGTACATGAATGTTTACAGCAGCATTATTCATGATAGCCAGAAAGTCAACCCACCCAAATGTCCATCAATTTATTACTGTCCAACAACCCAACTGCCCATCAGTTGATTACTGGATAAATAAAATGTGGCACATCGATATAGTGGAATATTATTCAGCAGTAAAAAAGAATGAAGTACTTATATGCTATAACATGGATGCATCCTACAATCAGTATGCCAAATGAAAGAAGCCAGACATAAAAGGTCACGTATTGTATGATTTCATTTATAAGAAATGTTATAAATAGGCAAATCTGTAGAGATAAAAAGTAGACTGGTGGTTGCTCAGGACTGTGGGGAGAAGGGGGAATGGAGGGTGGCTGTTAACAGATGCCGGGTTTCATTTCTGGGGAAGGAAGATGCTCTGGAATTGGATAGTGGTAACAGTTGCACAATCTCGTGCATATACTAAAAAATCACTTAACTGTACACTTTAAAACGATAAATTTTGTTATATGCAATTTTACGTTATATATGACTTGTACCTCAATTTTTTAAAAACCCTAATGACCTTGCTTTCATCTCTTTTTTTGGTTTGCTTTTTGTATTTACACCTCACTTAGCAAAAATTTAGGGCCATGGCTTTAAAGTTAAAAAGCACAATTGATTCTCAAAGTATTTGCCATCTCCCTGAATTATCCTCTACCTGGCTTTCTGCTCACTCGAAATGCCCCCAGACATAGATAGTCAAGCCAAAACCTTGATGAAAAATATGCTAACTTTGGATAATGTTTAGAAGCCTTCTGTTTTGATTTTTTAACATAATTATTGTCTGGGTGAGGCCTGTATTACGAGTCAGTATAGTTCAATATAAAGGGTTTTCTTTTTTTATTTTGAGACAGAGTCTCGCTCCCAGGCTGGAGTGCAGTGGCGTCATCTCGGCTCACTGCAAGCTCCGCCTCCCGGGTTCATGCCATTCTCCTGCCTCAGCCTTCCGAGTAGCTGGGACTACAGGCACCCGCCACCAAGCCCGGCTAATTTTTTTTTTTTTTTGTATTTTTAGTAGAGACAGGGTTTCACCGTGTTAGCCAGGATGGTCAGCATCTCCTGACCTCATGATCCGCCCGTCTAGGCCTCCCAAAGTGCTGGGATTACAGGCGTGAGCCACCATGCCCAGCCAAAGGGTTTTCAGTAACACAACAATTCTAGTCTTCCAAGACATCTACCATTAAATACTTTCCTGAGTGGGTCAGAGAACTTGCCGCTCTGTTGTGGTAACGATGGTTCCACTGCTTTCCCTGCCACTGCCTTCCACAGCCTCTTTCTAGGAACTTTCTACATTCTCATCCCCAGATAAACCCTGAAATTGGCCACTTAGCTCACTCCCTATTATGCACAGCATCTCATGCAGTAGGTATACAAAATACACAAAAAGATGCTCACTGAATGAAATCATTCTCCCTTCAGAAAGTGGACTCATGGCATGTGCCACTCATCTCTGCAAAAGAACAGAGCTACATGGCCTCCATCATCACTGGTCTGAAATCAAGACTCTATGTTCATGAGAAACTGGGGGAGAGCTTTAAATAGACTAATCTTATCAATTAGCGATAAATAAATAGACGAATAGCGTATAGTGACCCCATCCATTGTTGGCAATAATTAGCATCACCATGATGTTTCTTTGAAAAAAGGAACAAAGAAAGAACCAAACGTAACTACTCAGTTAACATTATGTGCTTTCTTCTTATATTTACAGAAAAACTGCCAGGTTGTAGTAGGAATAAGACTCTGTTCAAGAGTCACACATATATTTAGTACTAAAGAGTGCACAATAATCAGTGGTCAGATGCTGACATGGACACACTTTTTTTGGAAAAGCATTTTCTCTAACACTTGATTTACCTACATCACTGAAATGAAGCAGGCAGGCAGAACAAAATCTTTGATTCTCATTCTGACTTCTTCAAGGCAAAGGAAGCCCATTCCGTTCCTGAAGCTAAACTATGAATAATTATCCCATAATAAACAACACCCTCAAAATTTTCAGCCATCTAGGAAAGACGCCAGGGCTTTGTAGAAAATAAACAAGGCGCTGATTTTTATTATATTTTATTTAGAAAGACAACTCGGGTGTGGACATTGAACTGTACCTTTTCTTTGGAGCACTTTTCAAATGATAATTTCTTCCACTGTCACCATTAAATCTTAATCCATTCCAGCTCCTTGCATGGGTCATTGAGTCTATATGTACTGCTGTTATTTTAAAATGTTTCCCCTTGGTAGGGAAAGAGGGGGAGAAAAGATGTTGAGAGCCAGATGGGCCTCTTCACAGTTCATTTATCAAACCTAATACGCCGGGCCCCACCCTCCTCTCACTCACGATTGCAGTTAAACTTCCATATAATTTGGTAATCATTTTCATTATCAGAGAGTGACCCTAAAGTAGCCTATCCTGGGACACCCGGTCCTTGCAGCTGCTCTTTTTCTGCCTTTTCCTACAGTAGACCCTAAGAACCTCAGAGTTTATTAGCTGCAGACTGACCTTTGGGCTACGCAGGTCAAGAAGGGGTCAGATCAGAGGGCTCGCCCAGTTCTTTAAAAGCTATAACAAGCTGTCCATCAGGCAGAGGGGACTGGATAAACAAAGGCGAATCTTCAGAAATTCTGTCCCACTTCTGTTAACACTTACCCTGCATTCACACAGCTTCTCCCGATGTCCTTTGGATCATTCAACTCTGGGGAAGTGAATAGACAGCCCTAATAAGCCTATTTGGAGAGGGTTGTTTATGGGATTACGAAGCTTGGAGAAGGAAACCCACAGCACTCAGATGTGCCTCTAGAGTCGCTGGGTTGTGTGACACTGTGACAAACTCGGTTACCCCAAGTCATGCAAAATTGACACTTTCCTCAAAAAGCTAAATTACAAGGAACATATGCTTCAGTTTAAGAGACTTCAGTGAGTCCCAAACAATGGCTTGGCGCCTGACCTGAGAGACAGACAAATATTTTACAACCAGGTTACAAGTTTTACTTTAAAAATTCTCCCTAATATGATCGCAAATGAACCTGCTAAAGAGAGGTAAAAACCTTTATTACAAAAGACTTATACTAAAGTTACTGCCAGCTGCGGCGGCTCCGTTGACCTAAATTTCTTGAAGTTGTACAATTCATAATGCACTCTCTAATGTGCAATATAAGGTAATTAGAGTCATGTGTATTTAACTTTCAGAGGAAAAAAATTTCTATTATCTAATCTAACTGATCCCCTGATAGCTTTGATGAAAGTAAAATACTGTAACCTATTGCTTGGCCTTTGGTGAGTGCTAATTATTTTCTGTCAAAGCACATTTTTCCTTGTGTAATTCCGAAGTACACAATAGGCCAATCTCTAAAACACAGGCTGCTTAGTAAGCACTGCAGTGGATGTTTTATAACTTTCACCACCACCCATTTGACGGCTACTCGAGGCAATGCCCAATTCCAGACAGCCAGATGACACTTTGATGAGGAAAAGAAAGGTGTATGGTAACCGTCTGTTTATACGGATCGCATGGATGAGTCTGTAGATAGGTCACTAAGATGGGAAACATCAAATGGAGGTGGAGAAGTGGTGGGGAGAAGGATTATGGTTATTTAATACTCTGAGGACACTTTTCCTTCTGAGATCTCAAGACACCAGCCTCTTGAAATTTTCTTTCAGGTGTTTAGTTTTAAGGGGGTCTGCACAGTGTCAGCTGTTAAGCTCTTTCTTTCCTCCTCCCTTAACACAAAGGACTTGAGAATTTTTGTTTCAGTTGCTAGACTACATCAACTTCAACACTGGCTCCAGCTCCTGATTAAATTGTTAGCAGTAAGGGCCAGAAATGCTGAAAGCAGATTCCTTTTAAACAGGCCACTTTGACCATGTTGTCTAATGATTTGGTGTATTAAAAAATTATTGTTAACAAACCAAATGCACTCAACAAAAGACATCCATTTATGCTCTCACTGGGCCACACGGTCTTTGGACGGAAGGGAAGCAGAGGAGATATTACAGGGAAATTCTTTCTTCCTCCCTTTCTATTTAATTGGAATCATCGTGAGGGCGACATAAGACATCAAACAGAGACAAAGAAACCCCTTAGATGTCCACAAACTGATATTCCATTCCTTACTATGTATACTTTAATGAATATACATGCTTAACTTATAATACAGAGAAAATTTTAAAATTAATTATTGAAAGGTAAATTGGAAATCATTTAGTCATTACTTTAGTTGAAACCGTCTGCCACTGGGCAGGCATGGTGGCTCGCGCCTGTAATCTCAGCACTTTGGGAGGTCAAGGCAAGAGGATCGCTTGAGGCAAGGAGTTTAAGACCAGCCTGGGCAACATGACAAGATCCTGTGTCTATTTTTATAAACATTTTTTTCTAAAAAGAAAAAAAAGAAACTGTCTGCCATTTACTCCGACCACACCACCAAAAAGATGGGGGAAGGGGAGGGTGAATATCATTGGGAATTTTTAAATTACTGTTTAAATACAAGTCTGAATTTAAAGATAATACATATTTGAAAAAGCAGCTTTCTGATATCCAATGAGAATAAATACTCATACTGTCTCCTTTCTTGGAAAATGCTCATCTTCAGCCTTGTTCAGACAAACTTATTTTTATGATAATTATTACTAGTAAAGCTATCAATTATTATAAATTCTGTTGCATGAAGTCATTTGGAGAATATTATGTCTATCAATAAATGTTCTTGACTTCCAGGCACATAGAATTTTTAAGCACCAAATAAGACTCTGAGACAAAATATGCCATACGCTTCCTGATTCCTCTCCCTCTGGCTTAGAGACGGATGACAATTCAATAATTTTTACAAACTACAGATCTAAAAGATAATCCTAACATTTGCGAGAACTAGTTCTAGCCTCCCACATATCAACTGTTTTTCAAAACAGAATAGGACCACATGATATTTACTATGCAAGCATCAGTTCTGTAAAAACTGATGATTTAAAGAAAGTTTTCACCAGTAACACCGTTTCTAAGCACAGGCAACTCTATGGAAAGAGACCAGGTTGAAACAAGAGTCATTCCTAGTTGGTCAACCCTAAAAATCGGGTTGATAAATAGGCTACAGTCATCGCCACGTAACAACATTTTGAGGTTTTGGTCAACGGCGAACCTTATATATGTCAGTGGTCCCGTCCCATAAGATTATAACACCATATTTTTATAGTACCTTTTCTATACTTAGCTATGCTTAGATACACTAATACTTATTGTTGTGTTACAACTGCCTATAATATTCAGTACAGCAACATGCTGTACAGGTTTGCAGCCCCCGAGCAACAGACGACACCATATAGCCTAGGTGTATAGTAGGCTATGTCATCAAGGTTTGCGGGGTTCACACAATGGCAAAATCACCTAAGAACACATTTCTCAGAACCTATCCCCATCATTAAGGGATGCATGACTATACTTTCAAGTAATCTGCCCTGCATAGAGTGATATAGGAGCACTATATGGATTTCTCAGACATCTGCTCTAATGAAATAGCAATGCTAGTCTTTTACACTGTTGATTAAAAAGGGTTCTTCAGCATCAGGTACTTATATTACATTATGCTCAAAATGCAAACACTTATGCTAAATGTTATATTTGGGAACAAATTGTGTAAATATACTGATGACGTCAATGGATCATTACAATTAATGTAGGTGCCGTGGGCAGGAAAGCTAACTTTAGCTGAAAGCATCTTAAACGTGCTTATTTTTCATGGGCCCTCAAAGGAAAGGGATGAGGCCAGCCATAAGGAAGGGCTTGGCCAAATATAGTTCTTGTTTGTCAAGAACAACAAATCCCATTTCACAACAGAACTAACCTGGCATGCCATTCTCTCCTCAGGTTCTGGCGTGCAGTGAGCGAGGCAAGGATGGCAGTCAAGATTTCATTCCTTTGTTCCACGGGGAGCCCCTCTCTTTTAACTTCATGAAGCACAGCATTTGTCTACAAGAAATGATCCAAAACAGAGAAAGAAAAAGTGAAAAATTAATAATAAAAAAAAGCCCATAAGCAAATAAGGACAGTAAATCAATGGCTTTTTTATTACAGTTCCCCTGCTAACAAATCAATGCAGTAAATGATGGCCAAAAATGGCCGGCATATATTTTGTATTTAATCAATGTACATGGCACATAAGGTAAACTCTAAAGCTCCATTGCCTTAAGTAACACATCAAGATACTGCGCATTCTTACTCTAATTTTCTCAGCACACCAACGATTTTTTTTTTCCTGGGAATTGCCTACCATGAGCTATTATTAGAAATGATTTTCACGTACACTTCACTGTGAGTTGTTTGTTTTGCCTTTTTAAAAAAGAGCAGCCTCTGACTTTCACTCTCTTGTTTCCTGCCACCCAGCTGAGGCTTTCTCTGCCTCTCTTATTTGAATCATTACTTTAAATTTCTACCCATGCCAGCAATGTTTTGTGGGGGAAGAAGGGGGAAGATTCACTCATTTTCCTTGCCTGTTGCAAATCAAGATCTTGCAAAGAAAAAAATGGGAACACAAAAATCAGAAAGACCATTTCTTTGAATGAGTATCTCAAAGAACATCTTTAGATTTTTATAGATGTTGTTTTATAATTTAAAGTTAGTGTGGCTTCTTTGGAGATTTTATAACCAAAGCAATTGCTAAAAGGAATGAAATTGCCACTACAATTTCAATGAAATTGTCTGTGTTCTAAGTCATTCAATATATTCCTTATCTAACAGACGCCAATATATTTGTTTACTTAAAGAGCATACCCATAACCTGGTTCTCCTGTAACTTGAAACACTACTCCCTTACTCTTTGATAGCATTTGACAGCGCATATTTAATATCTTCATGACAACCTTGAGAAGAGGAGTAGTGAACATTTGTTGTTTCTATTGCTTAAATCCATACCTCATCCCCTTTGTCTGGCAACATCACCTAAATCTCTTCTTACAAAGTCTTTTCTTTCATGGTATAAAGTCTTAGAGGGACTGTCAACCAAGGTGTCCTATCTTCCCCTATGAAGGATGTGGGCCAGACCAAATTGATTCTTTTCCAGGATTTCAGACTCTTGAGAGGAATGATAAAGAAACGGGGGAAAATGCTGAGGCAATTTATCAATTCCCTTAATTCCTTCCACCCATGGTCCTCAGAGTATCTCTAGTTTCCAGAACTTTCCGAGGCCAGATCATTCGCTTTTCCTTTGATAGTGTCAGTCACCCAATATCCTTTCAATAAAGTCCCATTTTGTTTAAATTCACCAGGGCTGAGTGCAGTGGTTCATGCCTGTAATCCCAGCATTTTGGGAGGCTGAGGCAGGCAGATTGCTTGAGGTCAGGAGTTCGAAATCAGCCTCCCTAACATGGCAAAACCCCATCTCTACTAAAAATACAAAAATTTGCCAGGCGTGGTGGCGTGCACATATAATAACAGCTACTCAGGAGGCTGAGGCAGGAGAATTGCTTGAAATCTGGGAGATGGAGTTTGCATGAGCTGAGATCACACCACTGTACTCTAGCCTGGGCAACAGAGTGAGGTTCCATCTCAAAAAAAAAAAAAAACCACATCAGAATCTGTTTCTGTTGCTATCAAAAATGTTAACTGATACAAACAGGTAAGTCAGAAAATAGTACCTCCATTGTGAAGAAGCCTGGATAATCCACCTGACACTAGCCAGGAAAAGGACCCTGATTCTGCCTCCTATCCCAGTATTCCATCTACTGTGCTGGAAGATATGCCCAGTTGGACACTCAAGCAGCTTCTGTGGCAACAACATTTTCAGCCCTCCAGCACAAGGAGGAATGTTCAGCTTCTCTAGGTAATTCCAGTGCATGAAACCCAGGATCCACAGGTTGCAAATTCAAATACTCACTGGGCCAGGCACATAACATGAATGAGTTAAGCAGAGGTTACTGAAAGACAGCACATGTTCTGCCTAAAAAAGGCACGCACTATTCAGATCCAGCCAGCTCTGACATTCAGAAAAGCTGGCTCACTGATGCTAGATTCATGAATTTTCAAAATAAACAAGAAATCTGGTATGTGCGTGTGTGTGTGTGTGTGTGTGTGTGTGTGTGTGTGTTTAATGTAAAAACTGATTTTTGTAAATCTTGTAAACTCATTAAAATTTTTTAAAAAAATACCATGTGGGTCAAATGAGAAACACCAATGGGCTGAATAGAACTTAGGCAGCTACCAATTTGTGATCTCTAATCTAAAAGATGTCTAATTTCAGAGAGGTCTGAGCATTAGCGGGTATTCTAACAACGGTACTACTCCTTGTCTGTGACACCCTACTTCATGTTCTTAAAGTTGAAAGGAACCTCAAAAAGTCAAGTACTTTATCGGCCAGGTGCAGTGGCTCACACCTGTAATCCCAGCACTTTAGGACACCAAGGTGAGTGGATCACCTGAGGTTAGTAATTCAAGACCAGCCTGGCCAACATGGTGAAACCCCGTCTCTACTGAAAATATAGAAAATTAGCTGGGTGTGGTGGCAGGCGTCTATAATCCCAGCTATTCGGGAGGCTGAGGCAGGAGAATTGCTTGAACCCAGGAGGCGGAGGTTGCAGTGAGCCAAGATCGCGCCATTGCACTCCAACCTGGGCAACAAGAGTGAACCTCTGTCTTAAAAAAAAAAAAAAAAAAAAAAAAAGTCACATAGTTTGTGGTTATATCTGTGGATACATATTATTTTACCAAAATGCAAAAATGCATCAAATGAAAGACAAAGTAGACATCTAGCTAGCTAACATGATCAAAACAAAATTTTTCCCCCCTGTGAATCTATTAAAATGTTTATTTTTTAAAGTCATTTACCTCTTCCTTGCCTTTCATATCATTTACATTTTATCCAGGGGCCCTTGTTTTCCATAGGCTCTGAACAGCCTCTAAGAGGGGAAGGATGTAAGAAAGAAAGTTTCACAAAGAAAGGGGATGTCGCCTGTTTAGTTCAACACCGTATCCCCATTGCCCACAAAATATCTGTCAAATCAGTGAATAAAGAAGGGACTTGAAAAATAAGTATTACAAAAACAAAGAACAATGAAGGCTATCTTCTTTTAAGAACTATTACATAAATTATAAACTCATAAAATGGATAAACTAAGAAATAGTTATGTGCTTTATCAAGGAGCTCTTCACTTCACAAAAGGATTCACTCTAAGGTTTCTTTAAATAACCAGATCCTCTAGAAGTTCAAGAGTTTCCTAAACTTCAGTTATTCTAGCACATCCTCATAATTCTTGCCACATTTGTATATGAACTATGTAATACAGTATTTAATATTTTTCTTTAAATTGACTCATTTTTCGTAGTAATTTCTAGATAAAAGTAAAAAAAGAAAAAATGATACTATGATAATTGGCTCATTTTTTAAAACTATAAGTTCACTTCAAAAGAAAAATGGTACTTATAAATGAGAAGATAATTGGCCTGGCGCGGTGGCTCAGGCCTGTAATCCCAGCATTTTGGGAGGCCCAGATGGGTGGATCACAAGATCAGGAGATCGAGACCATCCTGGCTAACACGGTGAAACCCCGTCTCTACTAAAAACACAAAAAATTAGCCGGGCGTGGTGGCAGGTGCCCGTAGTCCCAGCTACTCAGGAGGCTGAGGCAGGAGAATGGCATGAACCCGGGAGGCAGAGCTTGCAGTGAGCCAAGATCGCGCCACTTCACTCCAGCCTGGGAGCGAGACTCTGTCTCAAAAAAAAAAAAAAAAAAAAAAAAAAGAAGATAATCATAAAAGTAAATATAAACAAAACTATATATTTATTTCATTCTAGAGAGATACTGTTGCTTGCTGAGGGCTCTGAGACTAAAGCATGCTCCCTCTTTGTAAAGGAAGATATTAACAAGTGGTGGAGAATAACGATGCAGCAGATTTAAATGAAGACTTCCTTGACATAATCACATAAACAGATGGAGCTGAAGAGAGAATCACTGCCTCACAGTGTGGTCCTCATGTGCAGAGTCCCCAAGTGCCACCTAGCATCACCCTGTATCACCTGTGGTCCACATCTCACATTGTGGGTGCACTTCCCTACTGCAATGGTTTTTAAACACTTTGCAGATAAAACTCTTTTCTCCCCAAATGTATCCTTACATGCAACTCCCAATATATACAACAAACAAAACTGGAACAGTTCTCTTTGAAGCTGGTATGGAGGACCTAGAAGTCCTCCCTTTGTTTTGGGGCATCTTCTCAAAGCCCCAAGGCACTGCGAAACACAATTTGCCAACCCCAACCCAAGAGCATCTAAAATAGCATTTAAGTTTTTAAAAGTTGAGACACTACTAGGAGGAATGCAAAATACTACCATTCTGACAAACGGTTTGGCAATTTCTTATAAAGTTAAACATACGTTTAGCATATGACCTAGCAATTTCATTTACAGGGATTTATCTAAAAAAATGATAACTTATGTTCAAACAAAAACATGTACACAAATGTTTATGGCAACTTTCTTCATAATCACCAAAAACTGGAAACAATCTAAATGTTCCTTAAAGGGTAAATGGATAAATACACGGTGGTACATCCATACAACAGAACACCACTACAGCAATAAAAAGGGCTGAGCAACTGATGTATGCCATCACTCAGCATCTCAAAGACATTATGCTCAGTGAACAAAACCACTTGTTTGACATTCTGGAACAGGCAATACTGTAGGGACAGAGAACATAACATTGGTTGCTAGGGATTCGGTTGGGCAAGACGCAGCATAAGGGAATTTTTGAGCATGATGGAACCATTCTGTACCTTGATTGTGGTGGTGGTTACGTGAGTTTATACAGATGTTAAAACTCATAGGACATGTGGCTCATGCCTGTAATCCCAGCACTTTGGGAGGCCGAGGCAGGTAGATCATCTGAGATCAGTAGTTTGAGATCAGCCTGACCAACATGGCAAAACCCTGTCTCTACTAAAATACAAAAATTAGCCAGGTGTGGTGGCATACTTCTGTAATCCCAGCTACTCGGGAGGCTGAGGCAGGAGAATCGCTTGAACCCAGGAGGCATAGGTTGTAGTGAGCCGGGATCATGCCACTGCACTCCAGCCTGGGCAACAGAGCAGACTCCATTTCAAAAAAAAACCCAAACAAACAAATAAAAACCATAAAAAACCTATAGGGTTGTATACCAAAATAAGGCCAATTTTATTGTATGTAAATTTTATAAAATTTAATTTAACTCAAAAACTTCATTTGCATCACATTTTTAAAACAAGAAAGAATGCAGAAAACAAGTTTCAAGTAAACACATCTAGCAAATAAGTAGTAAAAATATAAAGAAATATAACTTAACGACAAAAACAAATTCTGTTACAAAAAACTATTTTAATATTAGAAAAGGAAGGGTGAACTTTGAACATTCAAACTCTAAAATTTAGGGTGAAAAGAAATCATTGCACAAAAGGAAATTTCAGTGTCAAAAGAGCATTCTTTTTACAGGGCAATTAATGTGATATTTTTACTCCTTATAATAGTGTCGGCTTTTCAAGGGTTGACTTCCCCAGGAAATGTTTATAGACCATTTTCCCATTAGTAGTAACATAGAACTGTCTTCAAACAAGTAACAATTTTTAAACAGTCTCCTATTACCAAAAACACATTCTCCCTCCCCTCCTCCCAAAATACAGGAGAAAACCCCCACAGGTTTAGGAAACGTGCACTGGTGGCTAAATTTCATTTCATTAGGAAACGTGTCCTGGTGGCTAAATTTCATTTTATTAGTACTTTTTTTCAATAGAAATCTATGGAAATGCAGGCCAGATCAGAAAGAACTAAGTATTAATATATTCTTTAGAGTGCTGGCTGCTCAAATCCCCGCTGTCACCTCCTAGCTGTGGGTCTTTCCCATAACTCCAAATGGTGATAATAACAGAACCTCTCCACAATTCTTGTATTAGTTGCCTGGTACATATGCCATCATGATTATTATTGTTTACTTTCATCTTAAACTCTGCCAATCTACCTTGTGCTAGGTTATGCTAGTTTAACAAAGGGATTCCTGAAAATGTCTATTACTTTAAGTGGAAAAACTTTAAAGGAAATCAGGCAACCACTGAACAATCACAACCATAAAATTTTTATGTACCAGAAGCCAGAGGCATATCTTTTTGCATATCCCTAGTGGTGGAAAATCTTTATCTCTTTATCCTTTGAGGGTGGGTTTTATTTTTAGAACAAGTTCTGATTTCACTTGATCTCTCTCCATTAGTGGACACCTCTCTCTCCTGGGCCAGTGCCCGACACTAAGCTGGTCCTTCTCAGTCTCCTGTATGCCTTTCCTCATTCTAGGATGAGGAACTGTTGTTATCCCAAGGTCATACCTTTCATCCTCCTCTCATCTCTTCGGTTTGCTCTCTCTCTGGGTGATCTGCCCTTCCAATGGCTTTAAGGGTTCCCTGTAGACTGCGGACATCTCTACGCTTCTACCTTCAAGCGGACCTTTCCACTAAGCTCTGGTCCCATACAGCCAACAACTGACTATCTTCCTTAAACACACTGCCTCAAACATAAGATTTGACCTTCACCTGTCCACATTTGAACTATTTTTGCTCTCCTTCCACCGTATTTCCCTAGAGTGGTGACTGCACTACTATCAATGCAATAACCCAAACTAGAACCCTAAGAATCACCCTAATCTTCTTCCCTTTCCTTTCCTGCACTGCCTATACCTAAACATAAAAAATCCTGTGATTCTTCTCTCTTCAATATGACTGAAACTTACCCCTTCCCCACTGCCATAGGCTTAGTTCAGGCCCATCTCTCTTCTGGACCATGTAATGGCCTCCAAACTGATCTGTCTGTGTCCATCTCACCCCTTTCATTAATTTTCCTGCTTCAAGAGTGATCTTTTAAAAGTATATGTCCAAACATGTTACTTCCTCTTAAATAATTCAGCATCACCTATAATAGTGGTTTTTAGGCTTTCGTCATGAAGCCCCAGTGCTTCCACGAAGTTTCTTAGGGTCACCAAGGAGACAAGGAGCTTTGGCTTCAAAATCCCACCTAAACCAGAGCACCTTTGTTTATATATGCTTCGGTTATTGGCATTTGGAGGACACACACAAAAAATGATTTTTTTTTTTAAATCCAAATTCCTTAGCCTGGGGAAAAAAAAAACCCTTTTGATACAGGTCCTGCTTACTTCTCATATTTTATCTTCTATCATCTTCTGTTTCATATAAAACTGTAATTCCCTAAAAACACATGGCTATTCTATACTATACTTCGATTTGTACCTTTGCCATATAACTTTCCAGTAACTACTCACTCTTCAAGAAACATCTCAAAAACACCTCCTCTGTGAAGTCTTCCACAAACTACGTCCTTCCACCAAATTAGATGGAGCTGATCATTCTCTTTATGCACCACCATGTCGTACTCCATTGCACTTACATATTCATTTAAATTTTTCTCTTCCAGAGTGTGGGCTCCATTAGACCAGAAGGGTCCATGACCATTTCTTAATAATCTCCAAGGTGCCTAATATGGCAACATGCCACGGAAGTGGACTCCTGATGGATACTTTGGAATAAATGAAGCCAAATGACATGCTGAAACATGTCTGGGGAGTGAAGCTAATGATCAGGCCAGAGAGCACTATTCAAGGTCAAAAACAGTATGTGAAACCATCTGTGATTTGATTCAAACTATTCCTGAAGATGAGTCTAAGAACGGGGTCGGAAAAACTATTTTTAAGTAACAGAATCAAGAAAAATGAGTATATGCCCTTGGTAGGTGACTACTTAAAAGGACAATACTCATTTGGATGGACGTGCCTAAAAATATACCCTCCTAATATGAGGTTATGTATAGGAGGAAGAAGTCCCACTTTCTCCATTTCAGTAGAGAAAACTAGTTTGGATTCTGGCAACACACAGCATATTAAGGACCCCTAAGAATTTCCCAGAGTCTTTCATTTCTCCTGGCTCAAAACTTCATGTATAAAACCAAAGCAAAAAATCCACAGCCAGAGAGAGACAGAGAGAGAGACTGAATGCAAATTAGAAAAGAAAAGCCAAGAACTCTAAGGAGCCTTGAATTTTATGCTTAAGTTTCCTGTCTTTCTTGGAAAAAGTCTCCCAATTCTGAACGGATTCAATTAAAACTCAGCAATTCACCTAATTCTTGTGGGGCATATTGCTACAGTCAGTAACTTTCAGTATGTCCTAATTCCACTGTATCATAGCAGAATTTGTTGCATGTAGGGTTTTCAGAGAGGAACCACTCTGAAATTTAAAAGGAGACTTACACCATTTACTCTTTACTAATAATTCTATACAAGTCTTTAATCCTTTTGGTTCCTCTCTGATATGATGCAACGGCTTCTGATAGGCCTGTAACCCCAAAACTCAGACTTAATCTCTCCGTCTTACAAATCAAAGAATGTTGTCTAAGGAAATGCATGGAAACAGGATGGCATTCTACAAATATGGCTGGTAATCCCTCTTCAGAGTTCATTAAAAAAAAAATCTACTACTGTTCTTGCAATTTCAAAAGGCATTTAAACACCAGGATCCCAGAACTGCGTACCTTTCTGACCTCCCCATCTACCCATCCTCACTACCACCACAGAAGTAATACTGTCATTACGGGAAAAATGTCACCCCCAACACTTTTTATATACATAGCTGTCTCATGTTAGGGCTGTATTTCCCCTCTGCACACACAAATTACAAAGATATGCTCTGACTGATAATGAGGGCTAAAGGTTCAACTTGTGAAGAAACTTGGTTTAAGATGTTATCAGCTGGGAAAGCTATTTCCTCACATCAACATTGCCACAGGCTGTCAAAAGCCCCAACCAGGGCTCCCCTCTTCAAAAGTCCAGGAACACTTTTTTTCTCTCCTTCCTTTTTTTTTTTTTTTTACAAAAAAAAGAAAGAAAGAAAAAAAAGAAGAAAGGCACAGAACCCACTGAGATAGCCTTAGTCCCATCAAAGAAAGGTCGATCTCAGGTCTTCCTTCATTTAGTGATTGTCAGTTTAAGATGGCTCTTTTGTGAGGCCTCTTTGGCTCAATGCTGAGTGATGCCTTCACATTTTCTAAACTGGACTGGGCACCACCAAAGATTTCCAGCATGCTTGGATCCACAGCGTGGCAGAACAAATAAACATTCCTCCCAGCCCTTCTGCCTACCTTATCTCCCGGAGGAGGTTTTGGGGGTGCCAATGTTTACACAATGTTAAAACTTTCTTTCCCCTGTTTCCTGAATTTGAGAAAACGCATCCTGGATGACCTCGGCTAAGAGATAACACCAAGTCACCACTGGGTGCCACGTCTACTGGACTACTTAAGGCTGCTGTCTTCATCCTTCCTTCCCCTCCCCCGCCCTTCATAGTCTACTCACCCAGGAAAGCAGGAGATAAACTCCACTGTCTTGAAAGGAAGGCACAAAGGCAGAAGTCTTCAAGAGGCTGCCAACAAAGCAGGCTTTCATTCCCACCTTAAAGACACACTTGGTTCAGTTCATCTCAAAGACCCACTTTATTTGACTGAACATCTCCGCAGAGTTCACCACATGACTCCTCAAAAATGTGCCAGTAAGACATATTTTAGTGTTTTTCCATCATGTACTATTGAGCTAAGGGGGCTAGCTGAGAGTAATCAAGAATGTCTATGAGGAAAGAATTCAGGGAAAATGTTTCTTTGATCAGTTTCCTCATCCATAAAGGGGTATAAGTAATAGCACCGAACTCGTGAAGCTCTTGTGAAGAGTAAATGAAATAATCCATGTAAAGTGCTTAGCACAGTGCTCAGCATACACAAAATGCTTGATAAATGTTAGAAATTGGTATTAGGACTATTGGCAGCAGCATTATGTGTATGAAGTCTTGGGGGAAATATCACAGAAGAAAAGATATGGATATTGATTTACAAAACCCAAAATCCTAAAATATCACAGCCATGACTATGAATGACTACTTATTTTTGTTTTTTCCCCAAAGCACTTACACCATATCTCCCATCTCTCTCCTTCTACGAGTAGAGAAATCACTCTGCCTCCTCTGTTTGACAAAAAGCCATGGAGCCACAGCAGCCTGCCTGCCACTGCAGAAACTCTCGGGGACAGTCATGTGGGCGACCGCTGGAATGTTCAGGCTGCTGTGGGAAAAGATGGCCTGCCCCATACGTTTAAGCTCGGATGCTGGGGCAATGTACGAAAGCTAGACCTCAGAGCTCCAGTTGGCAACGCTGGTGTTTCAGATGATGGTGAAAAACAGCCCCATGTACTTGTCAAGGAAAGAAAAAAAAAAATAGAAAGAAAGAAAAAGTGGGGGAGAAAGGTAAAGAGGAAAAAAAAGTGTTGTTTATAGAAGCCAGCTGCTTGGGCCTTGGCGCCAGCAGCCCCTCATCCTGCTATTTTACGCCTGCAACCCCACTGCCCCTACTGGCACAGGTACAACTAAATGTTGACTTCAATGCTTCAGAGAGCACTCGACTGATTTTGTACATGATTAATTGCCAAAGACATGGCTGGCCATATGGAACAGAGAAAGCATCAAGTAATTCATACTTCTGTATGTGATCGTTTGGCCCCTGTTGTTTTAATGTACAGGAAAGAGCTAGTATAGCACAGCCCTGGTGTCTTGCCCCTGACAGCCCATTAAGAAATCTCAAAGCACCTAGTCGAAGTTATGCTGTTGGCTTTTCAATAGCAGCCTAATAAAACAGAAGCAGAGCTTTCCAACCAGTCTTAAATCTTTCACATACAGTACATTAACTACTACGGCTGAAACAACAGGCTTCTTATGATAGGAAATGGGATTTGATTTCTAGTCTCTGCATACTTACTGAAAGCCTTTTTTTGGCCTTTATGGAGTTTACAAAATCATTGTTCTTCTTTCTCCCTCTGTTTTCCAAGCAGCCTAATAGATTGGTTTGCTTCAGTAGAGTCTACTCTTCGTCACTATTACGTGCATTCTATGTAACAAAGCTGATTCACAGACGGGAGCAGGAAACAGCATAATTAGTCTTACCAAGAGAGTCCAGGAATCACTCTAGCTTCTGAAGCATTAGCCTCTTTTACAACCAAGAAAACAAAACCTATCTGCTGGAAGGAAGAGCCTCAGAAACACACTCTTATTACCCTCACTTCCTCCCCAACTCTGTGAAATGAATCCATTCGATGTTGGAAAGAATATCAACTTATTTCCCAGTTGTTCTACTGTTGGTTCTGGGTGACATTCCACTCCAGGCACAAGAGAAAGGTGCCACCTTAGGTGCAATTCATCCCAACTTGCAGTCTATTAGCTTCACCCACTACTAAGATCTTTGCAGGCTGTTACTTTCAGTCTGAGGGGAATATGTATGCGTTACCACAGTGTTTTCCTTTCAAGGATTTTTCAGATGACAGTACTAAAAGTTATAACACCATCAGTAGTTTCCTTTGTCGGTTCTGACACGTATTGGGAGGATGACTTTGTTGGCATTTTCTGTTAAAAAATACTTATATGACATTTTTTTTTGTCTGTGGATTTTTAGGTGTTGAAATTATCCTCACACCAGAAGACACCATATATGGGAAACTCCACTTGCCTGCGTATTCATTAGCAGGATTATAATTGCTCCACTGCTAAAATGAGCTAACAACCCATTTACAGCTTTAAGCCAATGGGAAATTCTCTGCCTGCCTACTGCCTCTCCTTCCTTGGGATATGCTGCTGCTTTTCAGGATGAGCAACCCAACTAATAAACAATAGCATGAAACAGAAAGCAAGAGCAAAACTCTTGGGGAAAAAAAGGAAATGAGAGCATTAAAACTGACTCAATGATATGGGAATGAAGACACAATCCAAGATCTCTACAAAGACAAGAAAATTGTTGTTGTTGACCATCATCGATAAAACTGTTTTTATTTTACTATGGTACGCTTTATAAAGTATGATGATCATGTAATTCCCATTTTGCAGATTTTCACTTGTCCATTTTGGGAGGGTGAAATGCCCAAGAGTAATCAGTGATGGAAGTACTTAGCATGCTAATTCTTTAAATCTCTAGCTCGCTGTTACCTCAATAGTAGTGTTGGTAGATTATACATAAAAGTATTATACCTAATACTGTTATGCTATATATATATATCACAAAAAGTAATATACATAAATATATCTTTTTAAAGTCTCACTGATGAAAATAAAACCATCAGAGCCACAAAACCTTCAATAAAGAAAATGAAAATGCTCAAACTGCAGCCATGGCACATAGCAATACTACCTGAATCTAGAATTAAACATGGACATACCTGTACATTTCACATAATTAATACTAGAATGACAGCTGACTTCTCTCCAAATACTTCCACGGTGCCTTGCCTTATCTTTATCTTTTTATCAAAAACTATTAACTTTATAAATAAAAGCAAGAACTCTCCCAACCCCACCACAACACACACATGCCCCTAATTCCCAGACGCTACTTCTAAGAATTCCACTGCACTAATCTGTTCGTTGTCCTAACTGTTAATTGAAGGTGAAGAACGGCTAACTATACCAAGTACGAAATAATTGAGCCACTGATGATGTTTGGCCTAAAAGTGGCTTAGCACTTTCCGATCCTTGGACAAGTGAAAAGTTACCCAAGATCTCCATCAGATCAATTCTCTCCTTCCCCTAAACATCAGCAGCACAAAGGCTGAAGTGGTCTGTCGGGCACACTGGATTATATGAAGTGTAAAACACTGGGGGAGAGGGGAAGGGAGGGATGGCCTTTGAAAGGGGACGGGAAAAAGAAATCACACTTGCAAGAGGATCCAGCTGACAGCTCAGTCCCTAACAAGTGAGACAAGTGAATATGTTTGGAAACATTGTGAATGCAGGAAGGGCACAGGCCTTTTGTCTGCGGCCCTACAGTGTGTCTTTAACCCAACTGCTGCCTGCATCACTGAACATATGTTTTCTACACAAGAATTGAAGCAGAAAAGGCTCTTTGTTATAATTCACTCCTTTGTATATATCTACCCCCACCCACCTACCCACCCAACTCCTCTTTCAGCAATACCCAAACCAAAGCCCTAGTGGAAATTTTATCTGCTCAGGAGAGTGAAGCCAGAAGGTCCTACTGAGACCTTACTACTGCCCCCAGGCCTAGAGAACTGGTCCCCCCAGAGTGGCAATAAGAACAACAGCTATGTTTATTTAGTGCTTACGACCTGCCATGCCAACAACCATTCCATCAACATTATCTCACTTCATCCAGCAATCACCATATATCAAGCATCTCCATTTTAAAGATGAAAAAACTGAGGCACAAAGACAGTATATCCCTCATGCCAACCCCTGCCACTGCAAAGTCACAAGGGACGCGTTCCATACTAGACACATGGAGTTGGAGATGCTTTGGAACATTAAGCAGACAGCATTTTGGAACATGAGAGAAATGTATAGCTAAAAATGAAAGATTTGGGAAAATTATATATACACACACACAAATTCTACACTTTATATGTGCCCTATGTAGGCTGCGATCTGGACAGTACAAAAACTCAAATTAGAGCAAAGCTGATGCATAAACTTCTCTGCTTTTGGCTGCAATGAAGAAAAAATTATTTTTGGTGATTCAGGAGGTCTCCCTTGTACTTGAGGACTTTAGCACAGGAAGGAAGAACCAAGGCCCTGAAGGCCAACTTAGCGACCAAGCTGGCCACAGGCAAGTTACTTATCCTCTCTGGACCTCAGTTTCCTCATGTGTAAAATGAGGATATTTATAGCAGCTACTTCAGAGAGCTCACAGGATTTAGTTTTTACACATAAGGCCCTTACCATAGTACCTGACACATGGCAGCCAGTCTGTAAGTGTTAGCTCCTTTTTCTCCCTAGAATTTTGCTACTGAGATTTAGGATAAATCTAAAGTACCAGCCAGTCAGAGTCACATTAAATCTACTAAAATGAGTCATAAAAATGAAGCCTTTCTTTATTCCTCTCTTTCCCCCATTTAGTCTTTTTAAAATTATTATTATTTCAGTAGGTTTTGGGAAACAGGTGGTGTTTGGTTACATGAATAAATTCTTTAGTGGTGATTCCTGAGATTTTGGTGCACTCATCACCTGAGCAGTGTACACTGTACCCAATGTGTAGTCTTTTATCCCTCACCTCCTTCCCACCCTTTTCCCCAAGTCCCCAAAGTCCATTGTATCATTCTTATGCCTTTGCCTCCTCACAGCTTAGCTCCCACTTACGAGTGAGAACATGCGATGGTTGGTTTTCCATTCCTGAGTTACTTCAGTTAGAACAATGGTCTCCAATTCCATCCAGGTTGCTGTGAATGCCATTATTTTGTTTCTTTTTATGGCTGAATAGTATTCCATTTGGTATACATATATACATATACCACAATTTCTTTATCCGCTTGTTGGCTGATGGGCATTTGGACTGGTTCCGTATTGCTGCAATTGTAAATTGTGCTGCTATAAACATGCATGTGAAAGTATCTTTTTTTGTATAATGAATTCTTTTCCTTTGGGTAGACACCCAGTAGTGGGACTGCTGGATCAAATGGTAGTTCTACCTTTAGTTCTTTAAGGCATCTCCACACTGTTTTCCAACCCCTATTCAGTCTTACCCCAGGGTCTCATGGGGTAGCAGAGTGCACTGATATCAGGTAAGCTGATATCTCTTAACCTCGACACTTTCTGACTCATGATAATGATGATAATGATACAGCAGCCAACATTATTGGGTGCTTTCTATATGCCAGGTGCTGCTCACATATACTATGTTACTGAATCCTAAAAATAAGTCTATAAGATAAAGGTATTATCATTTCCATTTTGCAAATGAAAAAACTGAGACTCAGAAAGGTTAAGTAATTTGTCAAATTTTATATCATTAGTAAGCAACAGAGCCAAATCTAACCCAGACATCAGGCGCCTGTGCCCAAAACTAACATATACGTAAACTGACAAAGTTCGGAAAGTGCTTTCATTAACTTCATCTCATTTGATCCTCATACTAACTATGTGTGTTGGGTAGAGCAAGTATTAATCACATTTTTATAGACAAGGAAACTGAGGCTTAGCTAAATTAAGTAACTCTTTAATATCAAAGTTTGTAAAGAAGTTGAGCTCAGACTAGAAACCAGGTGTTCTAACTCCAGGCCCAGCACGGTTTATACAGAACATATGGAATGGAACATACTGAAGGTAAACTGCCATGTGATAAACCAATCAATGACATTTGAGTCTCTGCTATACAGAAGACATCCAGAAGGTCACAATACCTGGCCACTAGGAGCTTACAATCTATGCTGGGAAATACAACATATACACAGGGTGGAGGATGACCAAGGGGGACATAAAATAACTGTTAAATTTGATTAAGCTTTTAGGGTTGATTTTGATTTATAAAATAGTTACTCTGCTCTACTAGAATGTCCTGTTCCTTGCCTATCATAATCTTCATGTTATCATTTAATACTGATTCGCTAAATAGAGTTGTGTGTCATATAATGATGTTCCAGTCAATGACAGATCACATATATGACAGTGGTCTCATAAGATTATCATGCCATATTTTTACTCTGCCTTTTCTATGTTTCGATATCTCTAGATACACAAATACTTATCATTGTGTCACAGTTGCCTACAGTGTGCAGTACAGTAACATGCTGTACAGGTTTATAGCCTGGGGGCAACAGACTACACCATATAGCCTAGGTGTGTAGTAGGCTCTACCTTCTAGGTTTGTGTAAGTACACTCTATGATGTTCACACAACAACAACATCACCTAATGAGACATTTCCCGGAAAATATCCCCATCATTAAGCAACACATGACTGTGCTATTATCTTTTCATTTTGAGACAATGGAACTAAAATGTAGACCTGTAGGAACAAAGATATAACTAACAAATATCACCACAAACCCGGCCCACTCTTAATAAACTTATTTTTCTATTATTATTAAGATAAGAATAATCTTATTTTTCTTAAGATTCCTGAGGTCAAAGCTATGTCTCACTAAGCTCATGCTACTGACATTGTAACGATTAAAACTTAAATAAAATAACAATCTGGTAGAAAAGGATAATTCAGTGAAAATCACACGGGCAGAGTTGCTGTACTTGTCCTTAGATAATATCTACCTAAGACAAATGCAGTCCCTGCCTAAACGCCACTGTCTACAGAGTCTTCAATGTCAGAACTACCTGCTACTCGGCACATATTTACCCAGAGGAGATGGACGACGGATGGACAGATGGACACACACACACACACACACACACACACACACACTCACTCAATTTTGTGGTATGGCTCTCAAATAGGAATTCAGGACCTATTAACTGGAAATATCAGTGCATTTATTAACATATTAATAGTAGCCATGAAAAAAAAACCCATCACAATGACTACCTAAAACACATAATCAGAAATGTGTCAACAACAATAACAAAAACATAACAATAACTATTACTTATTTTACACTTACCGTGTGCCAAGCCCTGTCCTAATCACTTTTCATGTAACCCCAATTTAAATCCTTATAACAATTCAGTGAAATCGGTTTTATTATTATCCCAGCTTACAGAAAAGAAAATCAAAGCACAAAGATATTAAGTAACTTGCCTCAGATCACAGAGCTGATAAGTAGTGGGGACAAGAGTTAAACCCAGTGGGTAGTAGAGTTCACTCTCTTACCTCCTAAACTATGAAATGACAAACTATAAGGAACTTTCTGTGAGGCAGGAATGCAGCATCTCATGTATTCCCTTTAACAAACTGACACGGCAGGTTGGTATCTTCAGCAAACTCATTTTCCAAGTGAAGGAATCCAGGCTTGGAGTGTTCAATGAGTGGCCCAGATTCTCATGGGGTAGCAGAGTAAGGATGGCTGGCAGAATTGGGGTTAATGATGCTACGCCCTTGACCATGGTTTCACTGACAGACTAGGGTTCACAGACAGTCTCCACTGGTGGAAGAAGTGGTGACTGGACTTCTGGTGACTGAGACTCCAATCAGGGACTCTCCCCGACTACAGTCTCACTTGGACACACAGACAGACACCTGAGGTCACAGTAAACAGCATCATTTTTTAAACTCAGAAAGACAACCACCAAATAGTTGATGAGCCTTAGCTCCCCTCCAGATATCCCAGAGATTCTCCCTAGCTATAGTGTCCCAGGTCAAGGGTGAAAATAATGATTTAAGGCTATTTTCACATTTATGAATACTACATATGAAAGGAATGCGTCAGATGAAATGTTAACTTCTGAGTGCTAGTATTATCCAGAAGATCACACAAGTCCTTAAGTTTGCAGATACTGCTCTGTGTATATGTTTAGTGCTCTGTGTATACATTTAGTGCCACTAAAAGAGGCCATCATTCCATCTAAAGTGTGGCATAGGCAGCAGAATCGTAGCTTCTCTCTGGTTAGGAAAGAATACCCAATGTTCAATGTTCACATGAGCAAAACGTGATTTACGGACCATCTATAAGCTCATTAGAATTTGTGTCTTACGTTTATAGGAACAAGATTTCCAACTCTATACTTCTTACAAATTTATTTTTTTAATTCTCATTATACTGCATTCATTTTCTTATATCATTCCAACGGTGATTTAGAATAAAAGAAACGATTGTGGATGGCTCAATGAGAACACAGAGAGACCCAAGCATATGAACCGGATAGTGGTACCCTTCATCATAAGCAGTAATAGGCATCAGTCTGCTAGCCCGCCTTTGCCCCTTAACTCATCTTTTAATGCCTCCCACTTAGGTAGGGCACTCTGAGGTCCAGAGTTATAAACTACATTTCATTCAGTTTTAGGGAATGAAAACAATATTCCAACTTCAATTATGAATCCATTTTAAAAGCTATATCCCCACTGAAGCACCTTGATATAAATAGATGCAGACTGTGCAGAGTTTAGCCTTAGCTTTAGAAAGCCAGTGTGGTTGCCACAAAGTTGCTTTGAGCTGCCCCAAGGACAACAAAAGTCATGTTTCTGTCTTGATTAATACAGTCTAAAACCTGCAAACTACTGCTGCGGTTGGCATGAATTCCTACTTAACTCTGACTTGCCACATCCAGAATAGTTTTATGCTTTGATAAGCAGATATTATTGGCTCATCTCAGACAGACAATTGCCTCTCCTGCCTTGTTGAGTGGTTACACATTCCATACCCAAAGATTAAACTGTTGTCGAAAACCAGTGATGGGCACAGCCCTTTCACGCTGAAATTGTCTCCATGAGACTGAGCAGGAACATGTTAACTTTGGGGTTCAGACAATGGGTATTCTGAAAGGATTAGAAAAATGGGCAACAACTGAACCTCCTCCTCCCTCCTGTGTTCGAGTCTACCACCTGCTGTGGTATTTTTGTTTCAGTAACAAAGATGCCTTCATGTTGGAGGCTCACATTTAGTGTTTGCTGAACTGGCCCCTTTAGTTTTGGTTAACTCTTAAGGAGCAGAAAAAGAAACATTTCTTGCCTGACAAATAAATAAAACATCCTCCTTTCCCGATTGTTGCCCACCAAACAATACATGTGCACCTATGGACATATGTGCATTTGTCTTCATATACTGAGACCTTTATACACCATACAGAAGCTGGGAGGATACTCTATTTATATTTAATAAAGTATTATTGGTCAATAAGAGCTGCATAGCATTTGTGATTTCATGGTTCACTATAGTAACAGGTGCTGTGATAAACAGGAATGTAAAGTGTTAAAAAGAAAGAAGGGATCACTTCAGAGACATTAAGCAGCTTTAAACACTGACAGCAGAAAGGGAAAATTTTTAAGCAATTTGGTTGGGTCAGTAAAAAGTAACACAGGTCAAAGGAACAAAATGGTCCCCCAAAATTCTGCCCATTGATAAGTAAGCATACCGTCTTATGGTTGGGTGCACAAGGCAAAAGCTAAACAACTGTTGTATGGAAACAAAAATATGCTCTCTTTGTGGCTCTTTTACAATAAGTTGCTTCAGCTTGGTGAACGCTTGGGGCCCCCATTCTCCCTGTAGACATGGCTGGGGTATACATTAATGAAAACAAAAGGGTCCATTTTCATTGTAACCATGCAGAAGGGTTAAGCATTTGACCTTCAAGTATGGTGCGCTTGTGCTCAGTGGAAAGGTTCTTGACAATATAAACAAGAATTACTGCTGTTAGAGAAAGGAAACACAATTAAAAACAATCTCAGATGCTTGTTGTACAGCTGTTCAAGTTTCAGCTCTGTCTGACCTCTAAGGATGCTACATGTTTAACGGAGACAATTTAAGATATTTTAGTGAGTCCCTTAAGCATTCGCCATGGCCGTCCTTCCACACGGGAATACCTATCCTTAAACACAAAGCGCTTTTCCAGTAATGAGATTTTACGCTGTGGGGTTTACCCTTAAAGCCATTTTGCCTTCCCAATCTGTCCTCCTCTTGCTATCTGACCACCCTGAGAAGTTGCCACAGACCAGATCTTATAGGGACTTGACAGGAGGCAGGAATGTTTGACTTTAGAGAGTACAATTCTTTAAAAATAGTTTGTATTTTTAAAGCAAAATCTTGTAACTTACTTTCCAAAAAAAGACGTTACTGAAGAAAAGTTTCTATTCTGTTAAACAATTATTTATCTGCAAAAAAAAAATTATTTCAACAAAAATGCAGTCATTTATTTCCAATGTGTGAAAGAGAAAGCACTGAGAACTCCGAAACAGAATTTGAAACAGGACAAAAAAAAAAAGAAAAAAGAAAGAAAGAAGAAGTATTTCTTCTAAGACATCACAGGAGATGGTTTTAAAAGAAACAGAAATGCTAAAGTCCAAGCTGAGGCAAACCACTGTCTTCCTGTCTTTTGATCTTCTTCGAGTCAGCAAAAGGCTCTGAAACTCTTCCACAAATAAGAGAGTCCCTGGGAAGTGATCGTGAGAAGACGCTGTCCTCCACTGGGGCAGGACAATGCGAGAAGGCCGAGGGACTGTGGCCAGGGCCTATGACCAGCTTTTTTTTTTTTTTTTCTTTTTTTGAGACAGAGCCTCACTCTGCCGCCCAAGCCGGAGTGCAGTGGTGTGGTCTCGGCTCACAGCAGCCTCCGCCCCCAGGGTTCCAGCAATTCTCCTGCCTCAGCCTCCTGGGTAGCTGGGATTACAGGCATGCGCCACCACACCCAGCTAATTTTTGTATTTTTAGTAGAGATAGGGTTTCACCATGTTGGCCAAGCTGGTCTTGAACTCCTGACCTCAGGTGATCCACCCACCTCAGACTCCCAAAGTGCTAGGATTACAGGCATGAGCCACTGCGCCAGGTCTACGAGTGGCTTTAAATGAACAAACCATGGCCGCCTACCCCAGACTTGAGGTGATACTTCCTACTTCTCAGGAAGAAAGGAAGTCATAGCGAGGTGAAACAAAGGCAAGAGACAGGCCAAATCTCATAAAGAGCAAGGCACAGGGAAAGTTTTGCTTGTCAAATACACTTTAATCTCTAAAGTCACTGGGCTTTGATGTTGCCCCCAACAGAAAACCTACATGGTTTGCAAGATTTACAGCATTTCTAGTGGGAACAGTTTCATGCTCCAGGGTTTTTCCTTCAGAGATTAAGGTTTATTTTATCCCTGATGTTCAATGTGTCTGACTGTAAGAGCCTCATCAGAGACAAGGACATTCTCCTGCCCTCTGACTCATCAAATACACCAAACTTTTATTCATCAAATCAAATTCGCTTTTCAGGGAACAAAGCTGCTGGAGATGATCCAAACTGTGGGGTAATCACCGTCATTCTGACAAGACAGAAGTGTTTCTTTTGCATAGAGTCAGCTCCTAAGGGAGATGATAAAAACTGGCTAAAAATGGCTACACTAATCTCTATATTATAAAAGACCACACAATTCATTGCTTAAGTTGAAATGAGGCAAAGCAAAATAGAAGGGGGAAGAAAGAAACAAATTACCACCACTGCCCATACATCAAAGAAAATCTACCACAAAACCCCCAGCTCTCAGATAATTATAAGTCACACAGAACAGAAGCAGTTTACAAAGGCCACTTGAGGCACAGTTCACTGGAAGGAACTCTTCGTATTTCCACTAACACTTCTTTCTTGAACAAGCTGCATCTTCTTCTGACCTCAAGGTGAGGCCTGACTTGTAAGGATAATATATACTAGGCTAAGAAGCTGGTAGTAAATTTCAACTGGATGGCGTATCAGACTTAATTAATCCCAGCACTACCCAGGAAAATGGTAGGTGGAATCGCAGAACAAATGTGCCTGGATGTTGAGAGATCTACTTCTCATCTAAGCATCATGGCCAGCAGAAATGAACCGGTGAACAAGTCATGTCCTGGTTCTCAAAATCCCCATTAAGAAGAGGCTCCAACCTCAACATTCCCCATGCAATCTGTTGATGATGATTCTACGGCGAGTGGGAACCATTTGCTTTTATCAAAACAAAAGGCAAAACAAGAAAGAATTTCCCCACACTCCTCTCTAAATACACAAGCTTAATAGAAAAGAAGTCTATTCACTTCTAGGAATGGAAAACATAAACAAACCCCTTTGGTGTAGTATTCATAATGATGCTAATGGAAGACACTCCTTTTTCACTGACGCATGTCAGTGCATCTCTGAAGTTAACACATAAAACCACAAAACACGCCAGGGAGGGGAAGAGGCTCATCTGATACCAGCAAGTGATTAGCAGAGGCTAAAGTGTTACCCAGGTATCTGGACTTCTGACTCACAACCCTCCTAGAGATTACTCCTGGAGGTTGCCTTAGGACACAGGTAACTGTAAGTGAGGTTTTACTCTAAATTGAACAATTTGATCCTTCTCCTAGTACCCCCAGCTATACTGTAATAATGCCCAACCATTTTCCTCTGTTTTTCCACAACAGACACACACTTGTGAAATAAGGAAGGTATGTTTGTCCCTTTGGGGGACAGTTTCTTCCATGCAATTTGCAACAAAATGCACCTTGGATTTTAAAAGAGCTATCCTGTAGTTACGATATTGATTTTTCATTTTGCTCCACAAATACTACCACAACTTTATAACTGATATACAGCATTAACAGTTTCCTTGGCCTTAGAGACCAAATTAATCACAAAATCAACAATCTGTTTTTATGCCACAGAGTTCAATTTTCGTTTTCAACATAAATTGCAAAACCACGGCCAGAGCCCAGTGCAATTTTAGAGATGCATTGCTAAATTGCCTCCCATTTGTGATTTAATACAACAAAGGTTTTGCAAATTAAAATGTTTAAGGCTTTAGGTTAGCCTGTATTTAGTCAGCTACCAGGCAACTGAATGTTTACAGGCTGATTTCTGGAGAACAGAGTAAAGCTAGCTGGGATACCACATGTCTGGCTACAGTGCACTTCCTCTCAGGAACCTCCAGGTTGACCTGTAAACATCAGTGCCACACAGAATGGTTTCTGAGAAATGTCTCCTCAGATCAGATGACACAAATGCATCTATAGATTCACCTATCTTCCCCCACCTTGTCCTCCTGTCCTTACCATTCTACTGAAATTCTTCCCATGATGAATGCAACGGTATGGCCACTTCTTAACTTCCCTGCAGGGTTCGACACTATTACATTCGCTGACTTTCCTCCACTCCATTCTACCACCTACTCCTGGTCCTCTTCTCACCTCTCTCGCTGCTATCTCTGGCTGTTCCACTGACTGTTCTGCGCCTGTCCTTCAGACTAGGTCACCCTACTTTGTTCTCCTTTACTCTTGAAACTACATTCTCTCTTACTCACTCCAATCGCTCAGCCACTGTCTCTGTGGAGATGCCTGCCATGTGCTAAGTGCTTTCAAGCCTGAGTTAACATATGAGAGAACACTGCCTGGCACATGATAGGCATGAAAGGAATGCCTACTGCAGACATAAATCAAACTCCCAAATCTACGCTTGGCTCTGACGTCTCTACCAAGTTCCAAACTGGTATTTTCAGCTCTTCTGAGATGTTCGGTATACCGGCTGCTCAAACTCATTTGCCCCTAAACTTCCTTCTTGGGTGTAGCTCAGTAAATGGTATCACCATCCATCTAATAACTAAGACTAGAAGAAATCTTGTAAAATTGCCTGTGACTTCATCATCTCTCAGCTCTGTCATCCAGACTGATGGTGAATTCTATGTACCTATCTAAAAACAAAACAGGCTGGGTGCAGTGGCTCACACCTGTAATCCCAGCACTTTGGGACGTCGAGGCAGGCGGATCCCCTGAGGTCAGGAGTTTGACACTAGCCTGGCCAACATGGCGAAACCTCGTCTCTACTAAAATTACGAAAATTAGCCAAGCATGGTGGTGCGCATCTGTAATACCACTACTTGGGAGGCTGAGGCAGGAGGATTACTTGAACCTGGGAGGCGGAGGTTGCAGTGAGCAGAGATCACACCACTGCACTCCAGCCTAAGTGACACAGTAAGACTGAGTCTCAAACTAACAATCAACAAAAACTCTGAATTTACCACCCCTTTTAATTCCCTCCAATTATTGCCCTGGTTCAGAACCTCATAATTTTGCAGCAAAATTTTTGCAGCAGGTCCCCATGCCTCCAGCCTCTCCTCTCTAGTCTATCCACAATGCTGCTACCAGTTCTAATTTTGAAGAATGGGTCGATTGGATCACTTTCCTACTCAAAAATCTTTGAATCCAGCTCCAACCACTGTCTCCAGAACAAAGGCCAAATTTCTAAGTGTATCATTCAAAGCTCTTCATCAGCTGGCCCCATTCTCCCCCCTCTACTTGTTCTCTAGTTCTACCCCACCTAGGTACCGGAAGTACTGGTTACAAGGCACCACATACTTTTCTGCAAATATGCCCTACTAACGTTACAGAGCCATCCCTCTTGTGCCTATTGTTTGTACTGTCTAAAATGGGCTCCGTCCCAACCTGGGGAACAAAGTGAGACCCCATCTCCACAAATAATAAATTAGCCGGGCATAGTAGCTAGACTGTGTGGTGGTAGAGCTATACTTCCAGCTATTTGGGAGGCTGAGGCAGGAGGAGCGCTTGAGCCCAGGAGTTCGAGGCTGCAGTAAGCTATGATTATACCACTGTACTCTAGTCTAAATGACAGAGCAAGATCCTGTCCCTTAAAAAAAATTGTTTAAAAAAAGAGGCTCTCAGCTGGGCGTGGTGGCTCACACCTGTAATCCCAGCACTCTGGAAAGCCAATGCGGGCGGATCACCTGAGGTCAGGAGTTCGAGACCAGCCTGGCCAACATGGTGAAACCCTGTCTCTACCAAAAATACAAAAATTAGCCGAGCGTGGTGGCGGGCACCTGTAATCCCAGCTACTTGGGAAGCTGAGGCAGAAGAATCGCTTGAACCTGGGAGGCGGAGGCTGCAGTGAGCCATGATTGCACCACTGCACTCCAGCCTGGGTGACAGAGTGAGACTCTGTCTCAAAAAAAAGGCTCTGTCTCAAAAAAAAAAAAAAAAAAAAAAAAAAAAAAGGCGGGGCTCTCTGTCCCTCTTTTTCACCCACCAAATCTCTGCCTGTTAAAATCTAATTCACCTTTCAAGGCACAATTGAAAGGCACTCCTCTTCCATAAAGTCTTGCCCAGTTTTCTGAATCTGACTTCTGTTCTCTGCAGCACCCTCAGAACATGTATTTTCTACCCCCTCATTTGCCACTGCACATCATGCCTTATTCATGTATATGTCTGTTACATGTGCTAACACACATGTGAGCAGCACAAGGGCAGCAACTCTGTTTTCTCAAATGTTCGACACCTTAAACCTTTAAAAAAATTTAATAACAGTTTGTTAGACTGGACTGAGGACTTCCCTGGACTTTGAGCCCCGCTGGTAGATGCCTGCTGAATATGAACTGTACTTTTTCAAAAGATAACAGACTCTACTGGAAGAGGATGGAACAATTAGGAAATGGCAAACTGGGCATCATCCCAGGCCTGCTAGGAAAAGCAAGAGGGATATGGGATGCTCAGAGAAGGATGCTGAGTTATCTTAATTTCAGCCCACAGAGAAAACAAATGAACATTTTCTTGGGGACTCAAAGGTTACCACATTTCTCCCTCATGCTCAAGACATGTTTATAAACACAGAAGGCTATAATAGAACTCACATGAGAAACGATACTCAACTTTAGCAAGTGTTTACATTCTCATCAGGACAACAAATCACTTCTCACCAGGAGATTCCAACTCAGTCAGCATGAAGATTCTTGTACGTGGGCCAAGGGGGATCTACCCTGGGCCAGAAAACCTCCTGGCCCTTCAGGCCGGATTGTGACTCTAGGCACCAACACAAGAAGAATAAGAAAGTGGCATCTCAATGACAATTCCAAACCCACTGTCCACATTCTGCATGGCTCTGAAGTGCCAAAGTACCCACGGGCCATGACAGGTACTGATTTGTCACAAGACTGCCAACCTAGACAGGCACAGGGCAATATCAAAGAGGATGGCACCAGACCTTCCTGACAGGAAAAGGCTGGTAGCCAAGGTCCCCAAAGTTTCTTATATCTGGCAAAAGAAGGAACGATGTGCCGACCCCCAGGAACCTGGACCTTTCTTAACATCTGAGGTCAATAATATTTGGAAGATAATGAAATTAGGAAGGGAGAATGACAGAGGCCATAACTGAGGTTCTGCCAGAGGCAACATCCCAAAAGAATAATTCCTGTCAATTCACTCACCTGCTCATCATTTGTTAATAACTAGACAATGGCTTTACTACGAGTTTGCATGCAATGGTTGGACATTTTAGACTTGCCCCTGACAACGAAAATCTGACAAGGGATGTCTTATTGCAGATAATAGGACCTAAATTAATCCCATGGAATTGGCTCATATTCCAATAATTTGGAGAATCTATACAAAGAAACTGCATGGCCATTTACATTCTATTTTACAATATGATCAACAATTCTCAGTTCTTTGTCAAGGGATGGTTAATAAGATTCACAAATTATATGACCAAAAACCACTTCAGCAACTTTAATGTCTCTAGCAGCACTGGACCTTCACGAAACAGGTAAGTACTCTCAAACTCTATCTGCCATAGAATCTCAGTGCCTCCAGAATAAAGCTTGAGCTCTCAAGCATGGCTTTCATGAGAGTAATGGTAAAGTATAGTGCAGGGACCTGATCTAGTCAGACAGATCAAGGGAGTCTGGACTGAGGAAGGAGTAATTGAGCTGGTATCTTAAAAGTGAGTAGAAATATATTCCTCTCTTGGTGAGAGAAGACATTCCAGGAAGAACAAATGACGTGTGCAAAGGCCCTGAAGAAGAAGGGAGCATGATGTGATTAGACTGATTGAGAAAGGGCCATTGTGGTAGGAATACAGGGAGTGAAGGGGTTGGAGGAAAGGTGAGGAGGAAAAGATGGGCTGAGGATAAAGGACAGACAGTCCCTGACTTATGACAGTTTGACTTATGATGGTTTGTCTGACTTACAATTTTTCAACTTTACTAGGGTGCAAAAGCTATATGCACACAGTAGAAACCATACTTTGAATTTTGCATTTCTATCATTGGCCAGGTTAGCGACACACAGTCCCATACTCTCTCACGATGCTGGGCTGTGGCAGAGAGTTTGTGCTCCCCGTCAGCCAAGCTACCATGAGGGCAAACCACCAATACTGTACTCTACAGTGTACTGTATTCAATAAATTACATGAGATATCCAACACTTTATTATAAAATAGGCTGTGTCTTAGATGATCTTGCCAAGGGTAGGCTAATGCGTTCTGAGCATGTTTAAGTCACTCTAGGCTAATCTATGATGTTGGGTAGGTTAGGTATATTGAATGCAATTTCAACTTAACAATATTTTCAACTTTCAATGGGTATATCAGGACACAGACCCATCGTAAGTTGAGGAGCATCTATATTTTAGTCTTTATCCTAAGAGCAAGTGGAACCCATTAATGAGTTTACACAGAGAGGAGTATGATTAGATTTGCATATGATAATATTACCCTGGCTGCTGTGTGAAGAGTATAGGAGACCATAGAGTAAGCTACTGCAATAGCCCAGAGGAAGGCTGGTAGCAGGAGAGATGAAAAGCAGACAACTTTGAGAGGTATTTCAAAGGTAAGAGTTCTCCCACAGGGTACCTGGGGTGGAGAGAGGGAAGTTTCAAGAAGGATTCCTCTCCTTCTGGCATGAAGACCTGGATGTGGAGTGGTGCTGCTTCTTCAGTTAGGGAACTCTAGAAGGGGGCTAGTTTGGGGGAACGGACAGCCACTGGTCCACTTTAGAAGCCTTATATAACCTGCATCTTCCTGCTTCTACCACTCTACACGTTATTCTCTCCATAGGAAATAGCCACTCTTTTCTCATGTCCATCCTCCTGTTAAAATTCTCTCCATTCTATAAGAATCAACTCAAAATGCTTCACTGTGAAGCTTTGAAATCGGATCCACCTAAATGTATCCTACCATCTTCCAAGCTTTCATAGTCTGTTTCTACTATAGTTATCAACATCATCTTCCACCTTACATAAGAATCATAAACATAGCTGTTTCCCTCCCGAGTCCCCCACAGAATGAAGGAAACACAGCAGGCACTCAATACCTCTCTGTTCGTTTAAAGTGAGGGAGCCTTCCTGTTCATTCGCTAATCTGTTCATATATTCGTCCGTTCAATCAAATCTAACTTGGTGAGAAGTCAGGTGCCTGTTGAACAGTAATTATCAACCCTAAACACATGTCAGGATTACTTGGGAGGTTTTGAACCATACTGCAACTTGGTGAAACATTAGAATCACATGGGACCCACAGCTTAGACCAATTAAATCTGTATCTCTGGAGGTGGGACCTAACTGATGAAAAATTTTAAAAATTGTCCTAGGTGTTTCAAATATGCAGCCAAGATCGAGAGCTATGGCTACTGAACCCCGATGCCTGGAGCTGGTGCTTATGTCTTTAAAAAGTTGCATGAAGTGTCTTTGATATAGATGCTAATGTTGACAGAGTCTAATGCAGAGAAATTACATTCCAGAGAAGGTGAAAAAGATAAGATTTCTGCAGTTAGTAATGGATAATTATTGAATCTTTTAAAATAAGGGAGTTTTTCAAATGGATTACGCCAAAAAGAAGGAAGAGCAAGGCATTCAACAAATATCACAAACAAAGCACCACTAGCATAAAAGGGTGCACCTCAGAGAGAGCGTACACCCATGAAACATTTGCTTCTTCACTTGTTCATCCAATATGTGTTGTGTTATGACTTTGTTTCAGGCACCAAGAACACAGCAGTATGTGAGACAGAGTCCCTGCTCTCAAGGTGCTTATAGAATAGCACAGGTAATAGGTGAACACATAAAACATAATTTCGGACAGTGATAAATACTCTCAGGAAAAAAATAAAACATGGTAAAAAGAGAAAGGGCCACTGTGAGGTGACTTTTGAACAGAGAACTGAATGGAAAGCATGGATTATACATATGCACAAACCTAAGATGAGAGTCTAAGGAGCAACAGGAACTCAGGTGAAAGTTAAGGGGTCACCAAATTAGCAGGATGGCGGGAGGAATAAAAGAAGTAGATTCAAAGCAAAAATGCAAAAGATGCCAGGCAATGGACAAAACACTACATGTATTATCTCAGGCAAATCTCACAACCATCTGCTAAGGGAGATACTATTATTATCCCCATTTTACAAATGAAGAAACTTGAGACTCTCCATATGACTGCCACTGTCATACACAACAAAATGATGAAGTCAGGGCCCAAACCCCAGTTTGATTAACTTGAAAGCTAAAGCTCTTAACCCAAGAATATCTAAGCCTGACCACTTCAAAGGTGATGGAGTGGCTGATCACATGGGTCATACAGCCAGCAACAGATGCTCACTTTACAACATAGCATGAGATAACACAGCAAGAGATGTGGTCTAGTAAGGCCCCCAACTCCTGAGAATTAGTGTCCACCCACTCAAATATAGTAAGGGGTCAAAGAAAGCTCTCCTCCCCTGCTGAGATCTCTTTTCGTCCTTGTCTTTATTAGAAAATATTGTTCTAACCACTCCCCAGTCATCACAGTTCCCCGCAAAGTCTTCTTGAAATAAAACTCTTACCTAACAAACTATGTGTGCAAGGTAAAGGCTTCAACCTGCAGTTCCATAGCCAAGCAGGAAAAGGCCCAGAGCAGAGAATGAGTCAGTGTTTAAATGATCCTAATGAAGACTGACAGGTGGAGGAAGAACGAGGCGAGCAGGAGAGGCCAAGGAGGCTCATCATATCAGAAGGTGACAACTGAAACTCAGACCTGAACAGATTCCAACAGGAACATAACTTTAAACAGAAAATCAGGCAAAGTGCCATGTTTCCAGGGATGGGGAGCCCTCCCTTCACCTTCCATTGCCAAAAATAGTTATAGCACAAAGGCCTAGAACTCAGCAGGGTACATAAAGGGCCACCTACATCCCGTGTGGAACTCAGTTCCACCACGTAATAACATCACTGCATGTCACGCTAACCGCACCCATCACCCAGACTGATCAGTTGATTTGACGCACAAGTCCATGGTGAAAGAGAACAACCTTCCCACATTTACCAGTCAAGGACAGATGGGTGTTCCTCATGGGAACCGCTATATGTATTGGGATTCTTCAGTTGCAGTAACAGAATGGAGCCTGGGTAAAGATTATTATAGCAATTAAGAGAACAGTTGCTCCCACCTCAGTGCAAACCCCAGCTCTGTTGCTCCCTACTCCTATGACCTGACAAATCTTTTCATACATCTGAGCCTTAGTTTCTTTCTCAGTAAAACAGGAATGAGAGAAATGCAAATGGAAATGGGGCACCATTTTTCACCAATCATTCTTGCAAAAAAGTCTGATGATACACTGCACTGGTGAGGATGTTGGGAAACTGGCATTATATGGACACATATGTACACATGTACATATATGTATATGTATATACATATATCTATATGTAAATATAGATACATATACACATGTATATAGATAACATATATGTATATTGTCTATGTTTATATATGTAAATAAACTAATCTATATGTAAATATACACATTTATATATGTATATAAACTCTACATACATACATATAGATAGTATATATATCTACAAATACACACATTTACACACACACACATATAAACTCTGCTACAAACTCTATGGAAGGCATTTGACCATCTCTCTTAAAATTAAAAATGCACACATCCTTTGATCCAACAATTTTACTCCTAGGTATTAATTACCATAGATCTCACTTGTGAAAAACGTTATGTATTAGGATACTCACTACAATATTATTTGTAAAAGCAGAAGACTAAAGACAGTAGAAGTCTGGTTACATAAGTTATGGAACCATACAATAAAAAGCTACACAGTAATTTAAAAGAACATACAAATTTGGAACAATCTCTAAGACATAGTGTTATCCATGTGGGGAAAAAACACATAAACGTTTGTAACTACATAGAATATCTTAGCTGGGCACAGTGGCTCACGCCTGTAATCCCAGCACTTTGGGAGGCTGAGGCGGCCAGATCACTTGAGGTCAGGAGTTTGAGACTAGTCTAGCCAACATAACAAAACCCTGTCTCTACTAAAAATACAAAAATTAGCTTGGTGTGGTGGCGAGCACCTGGAATCCCAGCGACTCGGGAGGCTGAGGCAGGAGAATCGCTTGGACCCAGGAGGCAAAGGTTGCAATGAGCCTAGATTGCACCATTGCACTCCAGCCTGGGCAACAGAGGAAGACTCCGTCTCAAGGAAAAAAAAAAAAAAAACTAGAATATCCCTAGAAAGGTATGGAAAGAACTAAGAATAGTGCTAGCCTCTTGGGAAGGGAATGAGTGGCTGGAGGATTGAGGGGACAGAAACACACTTTTCACAGCATAGGCTTTTATAACTTTGTTTTTATTTTTATTTTGTAAGAGACAGGGTCTCACTCTGTCACCCAGGCTAGAGCACAGTGGTGCTACCACAGCTCACTGTAACCTCCAACTCCTAGACTCAAGTGATCCTCCTGCCCCACCCTCCCGAGTAGCTGGAACTACGGGCATGTGCCACTACGCCTGGCTAAGTCTTTTGCATTTTTTGTAGAGGCAAGGTCTTGCTATGTTGCTGGTCTTGAACTCTTAGTCTGAAGTGATCCTCGCCCCTCAGTCTCTCTAAGAGCTAGAATTACAGGAATGAGCCACCATGCCCGGCCACGTTGATAACTTTTGAATTCTGCATCCTGTGTCTATGATATTGTATGTATATTTATAAGCAAACAGCTCTGAGAAAGCTCATGTGAAAGATCTGGCTCAGGTCATATGCTCATGGAGTAGCCAGAATAAGACAATGCACCTCACCCTCTAGCCAATGAAGAAAATGGCTCCACAAGGCAACATGAGGATGCTGCCAGAGAAGGAGGAATGAATGCTGGGTGAGCAAAAACAGTGTCCATCTCAACACCAGAGAGCCTCATTTTGATATGCCAGGTCCAAACACAGGGTAGAGAAAAAGTTCCAGAGAAACACTCAGTTTATCTTATTTTGCTATTGGCACACCGTTGAAAGTTGGCGAATGCATCAGAGAAATATCCCAAGCACAGCCATGGATATTTAGGGAGTAGTAGAAAGCACTGAACTGGGAACTGGGAAATCTGGGGTTCTATATTATCTGGCTCTATGCCCTCCAGAAAAGCCTACATCCTTCTGAGTCCTTCCTTTCCAAAAAGGAAGAGAAGATGATCACCTCTCAGGTCCCTTCCAACATTGACATTCCTGAATGCCATGGCACTTGGACCTCAGCTTGTCAGAGCCTAGCAGTTTGAGTACCATTAGGGTGAATACCTAATATATAAAGAAGAGAGGATAAATGTTTCAGGCCTTGAAAGAAATTAAGCAATGCCCAATATCACTATGCCGACGTTACCTGTTTCTCTGGCATTATGAGCAATAATGAGATATCAAAGAAGAAGGCATTCTAAAAAGCCTGAAGCCCATTTGTTCTCTAGGGGAGCAATGACCCTCTGGTGTGACTTTCTTCAGTTTCTTTGGTAAAATGAAACAGTAGTCCCATAGTATCATTTCTCTATGTCACTATCATTTAAGGAGAATAGTGGCCTCTAAATTTACCCCAAGACCCTAGATTCCTAAGCAGAATCAAAGTAAAGGCAATCTTTCAGAAGCCCACGTTTGAAGAACAAACTGAGAGTTATTACTCACTCAACAATTAACATCTTGTGCCTTAGAAGTAATAAAACCAGTCATTGGAAAATAACAGCATCACATAGAGAGGGAAAACATGAGGGTCTAGCAGAAATTTATGTGCAAAGGTGGGAAAGACCAGAGTGAACAACGGCCATTTACGTTCTGAACATTTACTCAGTCTTTCAATTGGTGTGACTGACAAGCTGAAGTGCAATGGCAAATAGAGACAGCAGAGAGTGCACAATCACTAATGTGGGACTGTTAGCCAAGGAGTGGAGAGGTATGTGTGGGAAAGAAACCACTCTATTTCAGCAGTGGAAGTGAGAGAAGACCACATCCACTCTCTTGAACCAAATCAAATAGCTCATGAATGACACTTTGGCTTTATTTCAAAATAATTTTTATGCAAGTATTGAGTTCACAAGACTGTCACCTGGACAAGAGGCAATGAAGATGTCATTTCTTCCAAACCACAACTCTAATAGCAAAAGATCAAATGAAATACACTTAGGGTTCCTAACAAGGAAGAGAATCATAAGTGGTTCATACATGGGAAGACCTGCTTCTGACCAAAGTCCAAAATTATTAAGCTGGTATTCAATTTATCAGAGAAAAACAAAGAATCTTGGTAGAAAAATTACCTAATCTCATTTGTAATTCTCATTCTAAAAATGTATGGTGTTGCTTGTTTGCTGTACTCACAAAGCAGACAGGTCTTGAAAGTAGTGCAAATAACTGAATTTGACTTGCTTTCAAAGTAAAACCTTTGCAAGTGCAAGATAATCAAACGGTTTTCATTTTATTTTTAGTTGCACATGTTTAGCACTTTGCTTCCCATGACTTTGATAGGAAGCCAGTCATTAAGGGGTGAAAGTGCCATACCTTGCAAAGAAATGCATTAGAGAAAAAAAGGTCCTTGCTAATCTTCCTAATCTTATCTCTAGCTGCTGGACTCACACAAACCAAACTCCATCCAGTCTAATCAAGTTTGCGAGCAGGTCTGTGTTTTCCCACTGCGATGGCCCTGCTTCTGCCATCTTTGAATATTCTCCACCCATCTCCATCTATCAAAATCCTTCGTATTCCCAAAGGCCTCTGTCAGAATCTGCTCTTCTCCTTTTTCTTCCTCTGAATTACTTACTGCCTTGTGCCTTATCAACCTGGGAGACATAAGTCCTAGCTCTTTGTATAACTCCACACTTATCTGCAAAAAAAAAAAAAAAAAAAAAAAAAAAGGAGCAGATGAATGATTAAATGACTGGGATGAAGAAAGAGCACTTCTGATGTCACTATATTAAAATAGATTTCAAATATAATTATTATCCAATGTTTAAGGCTAGCTTTCATCAAAATATCTCAGTAGTGTGGAATAATAAAAACTGAAATGCAAGAGAAGAGGATTCTGAATTTTCAGATTTAAAAGACGGAAACCAAGAGTCTTAACACATTGCCCTTTTTTTGAGAATATTCTATTTAACTTTCAGATTTTTCAGACTGCTCATATAAAGATCGAGTTCTTTCAGAGGTCTTATTTGCATCCAAAAATGTAATCAAGGCTATTTCAACCTAGACAAAAAACAACACTGCTTAATTAACTCAACTAATAAAGCCAGACTCTTTCTCACATTAAAGAAAAAAAAATTAAAAGACAGATCCTGAGAATCCCAGAAGGCCACCCTGTGCTACTTATGCCAGGCTATGTGGATGCCATATGCATTCGAATTCTGTCTCAGGACAAAAGGGAGATGGGGCACTCTAGAACCAGTCAGAAGACCTGAGCATCGGCTACAAACACAACTGATTTCTCTCCTACAACAAAGTGGTGGGGTGGGTTGGTGGGGAGGAAGAAAAATCTTCAGCCCCCAGTGGCATTCACATCAAAATCTTTTATAAGGCTTCAATCTTCCGACTTTACCTAAGGAATGAAGTCAGCTTCATGTATTCAGATAAGCAATAATAGTTCTGCTGCTTATAGAATTACAACCAAACTTTTTCCTTTGTTCTAGCAAAAGACTTCCTGTGTGAAAGCAGTCATCCTTTAAAGCTTTCCAGTCCAAAGGTCTCCCCTGGTTTGTATTCCCCTATTCCCGTCCCCCAAAGGAAAAGCTCAATCCACATCACAAGGCATTTCTTGGTTCCAAGCTGTACTGGTTTCTCAAGGACTCCTGGTGAGGAAAGAAAACTGGTCATCTGAACATCCTTTCCTGGGATCTGTCTGAAGTGTAGACAAGCAGCAAAGATGAATATTAATATGCCTTCCATCATCAAAAGCTATTGCATACCCAAAGGATGATAAATATTTTAATCAGTTTTCAGCTTGTCTAGAGGAAGTCAGTTTACTCCTCAGGGACTTCCCTAGTCCTGTGCCCAAAACCTGTCCAGTCCATGCTGCTTTCTCTATATAATTTTGAAAATTTGTAACAAGAAAGTCCAAGCTTTGTTGGAGAAGTCATTTAATTTTGTGACAATTTACTAAGTTTTTCCAGAAGAGGGAAATCTAAAATATGAAGGATGATCACAAATAAGACAAAACACTATGATTCTAACTTTTAGCAACACTGGTACTCTGGGAAACTAATAACCTACTTAAGCCTCTCATTAAAAAAAAAAAAAGATTTTCCATATTTGCATAAGTTGTTTGCCTGTGATTGCTCAATCTTCTCAGCTATAAATGCCAGAGGCATAAAACAAGACTGTCCTCTGTGCCCTCAGTATTATTTTGTTTTTAAAAAGAAGTTAAAGACGTTTTGGGGTATTATTGTGAGAGTTATGTTTGTTTAAGAATAAAACTAACCCAAAAATATTCCTGTGAAGCAGGTAATAAGAGGTAATATTTTAGGAAAATGTATAAAGTTAAAAAGAATTTATTGGCCAGGTGCTGTTATTCACACCTGTAATCCCAGCACTCTGTGAGGCCAAGGTGAGAGGATGACTTAAGGCCAGGAGTTCAAGACCAGCCTGGTCAACACAGCAAGAACCTGTCTCTGCAAAAATAAAAATAAATTAGTCAGGCATGATGGCTTGTAGTTCCAGCAACTCAGGAGGCTGAGGTGGGCAAATCACTTGAGCCCAGGAGTTTGAGGCTACAGTGAGCTATGATCACACCACTGTACTCTAGCCTAGGCAACAGAGTAAGACCGTCCCAAAAAAAGATTTAAGGCCACACTGATCAACATGGGTGGGAGGAAAAGGCAGGACTAGAACACAGACCTCACGTGAACTCTTTCTTTTAACAAACATGTGTCGAGTACCTCCTATGCAGTAGATGCTGTTCTAGAGGCTGGGGAAATAAGAGTGACTAAAACAGACCAAGTCCCTGCTGCCCTCATGGAGATTATTTCAGGTAGAGGCAGACAACAAATGGATATATAGGATAATTGCAGTTGGTGGAAAGTGTTAAGAGTACAGTAGAAAAGAGTAAGGCCCTGCTACAATGAGAGAGTGCTTGGTCAGAGCAACTCTCTCCAAGAAAGTGACATGAGCAGAGATCTGAATGAAATGAGGGAGAGAGTCATGTAAATTACAGAAGGACAGACATTCCAGACAAAGGCAGCGGCACATGCAAAAATCCTGGGCAAGAGTGGGCTGGGCATGTTCTAGACATAGTAAGGCAGACATTAGGGGAGGGAAAGAGGGGGAGCACTGATGGAGGTCGAGGAATGGACAGATCCTGCAGGGCATTAGGCCACTGCAAGGAAGGTGGATTTCTAAACATGATAGTAGGTTTGAAACAGGGGAGTGAAACGACGACCTGACTTGTATCTCAAAGGAACATTCTGACTGGGATGGACATAGGGTAGTAGAAGCAGGAAAGCTGGTTGAGAGGCTATTTTATAAACGATGGTAGTTTTTACCAAGGTGGTAGCACAGGAGGTAGTGAAGGGTAGTCAGGTCATGAGTATATTTTGAAAGTAGAGCTAACTGGATTCACTGATAAATCAAGAGATACATCAAGAAGACTCCAAGGTTTTAGTCTGGGCAACTGGACAGTTCAAATTACTGAACTGTGAAACACTAGGGACTACAGAAATCAAAACTTGGGTTTTGGATTTGGTACCTTTGAGATATTTATTACTGGATGGCTGAATACTGCCCACCCTTCCCAAACAATGTTCAGGTATCCAGGACATGAGACTTCAGTATCAAGAACATATTAATGTATTACAAGCATTGGTATATGCCACCACTCCCATCCTTTAAAAAATGTCACTGCTAACTGCATGAAAAGTTTATGTCATCAAGTAAAATTTGAAACCTCTTAATCCCCCAACATCTGTTAAAGAACATCTGACGCATAATTCTGGATATTTCATAATTTGTCATTTCAATTAATAATATTTAATAAGAGGGCTATATATGCTCAAGCTACCACCAGCTCTAAGTCTTTATAACCAATGCAGATATGGCTATGCAGATATGTCTAAAACATTAAAATTTAATTATGAATAGTGCCCGAAGACTCCAGATTTTTAGTTGAAAGCTAATTTTGTCAATCAAAAACAAGTAGGAGATTTATTGAGCGGTATTAAAAGAAACAAGTAGGAGATGATCTGCCTGAGATTTTTATACATATGAAGGAAAAATTTACAATTGAGACTGTCACAGGTGGTTCCAGATGGACTGAGATCATGCAAAGAAAATGCAAAAAAAAATGTCAATCACATTTAACTTGTTAGGGAAAACATGCTATTAAAAATATCATCTACAAATAATCACAGAGATCCTTTCAGGAATACAGAAAAAAAATAGATCACAGTTCCCTTTGGTTAAAAAAGGGTCATTATTTTGCAGATGTCAATGAGGAGGGAGCAGGATGGTGGTTATGTTACCATAAGGCACGGAAGGGCCAACTTAATGTGTTCCCGGGGCTCTCTGTAAGTCATTTTTTGGCACTGGGAGTACATTTCTCCATAGAGACATTTCTGTACAATATGGAAAGATTCCCAGCCCAGCCTCTCAAAGTATTTAACCCACAGTGGATAGACGCATTGCAAGAGGAGCGCTGAGTTCCAAATTGTTGTGAGTCCCTTTAGCTCCTGGACTGAACCCCAGCTCCAGAGGAAGGAAAATTAGGAAAGGAAAGGGATGCTGTCAATAAGGAAGACTCGGTCAACCGGCCTCGAAGTAAGGATTCCTCAGTTGAAGACTCTCCACGCTTCCTTTTAAAATCAATACTGGTGATACCTTGCATTTATGTATGTTTTATATTTTACAAACTTTCTCATTGGATCATCATAACAATATTTTTCAAGAGGCAACAGTTTTAGTGATTATTCATTAACCAACTTGGGGGAAAAAGATTCTAACATCTTGATAATATTCCAAATAAATGGCACGACATCCTTTGGAAATCTTGTTTTCCTTTCAAATCTGTAGGTCTGGTGATTATTATTATTATTTTGTACACTACTTCATTCTTCTAGACTGAGATTCTTCTAGGATATTTCAGAGGTAATTATAATAAAGTAAATAACAGACTAGAGCTGAATTTAATCCCTCTACCATGCTCCCCACAAAAAAAAAAAAACCCTAGATGAAATAAGTTACATAATTTGTTTTATGTTATATCTTTTCCAGGAAAAAGAGAAATTTCTGACATTCCAATCTTGCACCAGGGTTTCTTAATTCATATCTGAAATGCTATGATAGTCTGCTAGTCAAAGCAATCCAAAATGAATTCTAGCAGCCAAGGCTAAAATAGCACCCCAGGGAAAATAGCAGGATCTTCACACCTTTACATCAATTTGAATTTCAGGGTGGTTAAAACTATTTAAAGCAGCAGAATTCATCTTTTTTTTCTTTACATATAGAATGTGTGAAATGTGTGTATGTGTGTGTGTGCACATGTGCGTGTGTATATTTAACGAAGGTTGTCAAAATTTAGCCAAATCCTACAGAAACAAGGTTAAAACACAAACCCTGGCTGTTTACTCCAGTTTTTCTCTCCACACACTAAGAGTTAAGAGAGATGGCAAGGCTGTCACTTGGAATTTCCTAGCTCCTGTCACTTTGTCTCAGCATCTTCAGCATTTTTAGTGTTGTTCCTATTGTGTGCAGAGCAGAGGCACTAGGAACGATCCTCTTAACATTCCTGAGATGTACCAGGCACATCCTAGGACTTGGTACCAGTAAAGCTCAACTCTCACACAGCTCATGTAAGGGTTAAAAACAGAAAGTCCTACCCACTGGTTTGCTCTGATGTTCCTGGAGATACTGTCACTGGATGTATCCTCAGTAGAATTCTATTCAACACCTCTGTCTTTAAGTACAAAGCTGTAGGCTGTAGCAGCTTTAAGAAACATAAGTATCCCTTTTTTCTGCTGCACAGTATCTGTGTGTGAAATTCTCTAAAGGGGTTTAAGTATTTACCCTGAACACTATCAGACGGTTTCTAAAATTTTCCTTATCCAGTTGCAAAAACACTTCAAAGAGAATCATAAACACAGTCCTTTGTGCTTTCGAAGCACACTGTGTTTTTGAGGCTTAAGCCTGAATTCTCTTGGAATTGTATATTCTTTTTTCCCAAAAAGACAGGATACACAACACTTTCTTGTAAAATTCCTTACTAAAGGTACAGACACTCAGGGAAAAAAATGGAAAACTCTGAAATTCATAAGATAATCAAAAAAGGAATAAAAACTTATAAGAAATTCACTGCTAAATTACATGTAAAATTTCTCCCCAGATGTTTTACTTTTAATAGAACAATATAGCTGTGGGGAATTGGAGTGGGTGGGGAATTAGAGTGGGTGGGTAGGAAGGAGAATGGAAAGAACCGAGCTTCCCTGAACACCTTTAAGATAACCAAAAACCAAAGATTTAAACCAAAGATTTTAAGCTGCTCCAGCTGCAAGTGACTTTTTCGTTTTTCCAGATTTTCAAAGCTAAACGTAAAGGTCCTAAAACTCAGTGCCTGCACACCAGTTTCAGAAACTGAATTTTTGGATGCTTATGACTCTTTATCCACCTCTAATCTGTGCTTATCTTGAGTCACTCAGCACTGCCCCAGTCAAAAAAGAGAATTTACATTTTAATTTAAAACCACTAGACATCTCACATCTGATCCTAAATTACTATAATATACTCTGCTCTTAAATCAGAAATGCTAACCCTGAAAAATGGGAGACTGGATTATGTTGGCTGATGTAACTTAATGTGCACATTAACACTGAAAAGAAGGGTGAAAAAAATTATACACACACACACACACAAAAATTGGTGACTTTCCCATTAATGCAAACAAAAAAATTCGATATTTATATTTCCATCACTTTCTTCTGCACATCCCCAAAAATCTTCAATCCTAGAAGGAAGTTTAAAATAAACTTAGCTAATTGAACTATAATACAATAGCAAATACCAGTATACTCAGTAAAAATTTCAGTAAATGAAAAAGCAGCCTTGTTCCTGTATTCAGTTTTAAAGAATTTAATCTAAAGCACTGTGATGAGAACTTCATTAATCTCTCCAAAAATAAACAAACTACTGCTCGGCTCAGTCATTCCCTATGACTATGTAAACTACATGAAGTGTAACCTATGCTGAGGAAGACTCATCCACACAGCCATGGGCAGGCTCCTGGCAAGGGCCTTCCCAGATGATTTACATAGGCCAAAATAGCAGGGGAAAAGGCATGACTCATCTTAAAATTAAACTATTATAACTAACTTGTCAGGCACAACCTTTACCTTCTTAAGTACATTTCTCTCTTAAAACTTTAACAACAAGAAACTGGTTACATTATTAAATAAAACACCTACTCATTTTCCACATGTCTCTGCTCTCCTGTGCCAAATTTTAACATAAATGGATAGAATTAAATGTAGCCTATAGCTTACCTAACATAATTATATGTTGTGTTTTACACTGTTTCCAAACGGATACATTAAAATAATCCAGTCTTGGCTCCTACCCACTAAAGTCAATAAAGGTTATTAAGGCCAACTGCCATATAAATGCATTGCTATAACAGCACAAGGAATTGTCAGAACAGGAAACGCAATTCAAAACATTCAAAACCATCAGGATCTACTTTTTATTCTAAAAGAAAAAACCAAGGAAAACAGCAAGAAGAATTTCTCTCCAGTATCGAAATCATCACTACTTTCGAAAATGTTTACTCTGGAAACGATTGTCGAATATTTCCACTGGATTATACCAAATTGACCTTTTTTTTTTTTAAGGTCAATAGGAAATGAATAAATGTCATCAATTTAGAGGATTTCGCACCTAGCATTCTTTTCTGTATCATTGTGAATTTGATAGTGTTAAAACATTTTTATAGGTAAAATAAATGTCAGTTTTGCAAAGAGCGATACCAGACCCTGAGAGACAAATGGCCTATCCATTGAATCTCTGGCTACAGCAAGACTTGCCCACCTCACAGGAGACTTCAGCTTTTCATATTTCTCTTTACCCAGAAAGCAAAGCAGCTGTACAGTTTCTTTCAAATGGTAACTCTCTCTTATCCTGAAGAGTCTTCTCATAATACAATCATCTTGGATGGCAGGGGCGGTGGGGGTAGGAAGTGCATCGGGTTTTAAAAAAATTAAAATAAAAAACAAATATTTGAATAGTATTATAGTGTTATAATGCCATCCTCAATAGGGAGCAAAGAGGAGGGGAAAGGCCAGACTAAATTCCTGGGTTATAAGAAAGGGTTATGTTGCTTTGGGCTTAATGGCTCATAAATTCATGAGGTAATATTCAGGGAAAATGTGATATTTTATCAGAATGTCATTCAAATATAAGGTTTAACATTTACATCACAAGAGCATGGATGGAGTAAAACTATCCGCTGGGAGAAAAAATGGCAAGAATAAACAGTGTGATAAAAATGGTGTTTTCTGGGACAGGAAATGGGAAGTGGAGGATGGGGGAGTTTTAGAGACAGCTGACTAAACTTTTTGAAATATGTGACTGGTTATGACATGTGAAGCAATTACCATTAATGGAAGAAAAGCGATTTCAAAGCTCATTTTCCATTCTTCTATATCCTTCCTGAGACTACACCTTGCAGCCACAAAGTGAAAAAAGAGCACAAAGACAGAAATCACAGCGCAAGTCTCTTCCCTGGTACGAGGGCCGATAAAGGTTGCTTTACTCATAAGCAAAAGGGGAAAAGTAATGCACATATTCCCTGAGGTTTTTTATTTTCTCAGCAAAAGAGATCGATGTTATTTTGCAGAACAGACAAAATGCATTGATTTAAAGAAATCCTTCCACAACACGCACGATTTTACAATTCAAAAAAAAGTATAAAGATAAAAAAGAATCATTTGTCTAAAATGATAATAATTTTGAGTAAGATAGTCCCTGGAAGCAAAGTGAGGACACTCAGAAATTCCATTTGGATTAGTCTAATGCTATAGAATCCAAATGTGCACCAAACACTGTACTTTTTATGTTAAATTGCTGTTGAATTTGTTAACCCACAACTGATATCCTGTGCTATGGAATCTTGGAGATTACAGCTAACTTGAAGCAACAGGGATAATTCTTGACAGTTAATGGTATTTTTGTATGCGTTTTCCTGAAAGGCTAACATCTTGGGGCCTCAATCTGGTAGCTCAACATTGCCCCCTACTGCTTGCAACTGAGAAAATATGAGGTGGGCTGGTACCAAGTAGAAATCTAACCAGCCACTGCCAATTCCACCCGAGTATACAAATACCAGATGGTACTAAACGAACAGAACCACAGAACCGTAGATTCATCCAACAATTATTCTGTTCTGTCTTGTCCAATAGAAAAAAGAAATCACTATGAATTTGTAAAAAGTCACTGTAAAAGGCTTGAAGCAATGCTTACATTTAATTTGGAAGAAACATCCCTTTTATCTGGACCTAAATCTTCACTCTGCTGATAAAGATCATCCCAAGACACGCTGAGGAGAGACACTGAGGCCACTGATCTCCCTCAGAACACTTAGAAATGACACGCCAACTTCTGGGAAACCAGCACCAGAGAGTTCGCAGAATTGCTTTTCCTTTTAGTATTTTTTATACAAGAGCGACAAAACAAATAACAGATATTTCCTCTTAACGCATGTGCCACCACCTTCAAATTATTTATACACAAATTTACATAGATATAACTAAATTCCTTAAATGAATTCATAATGAATATCACTTGTAAGCTCACAATACCAAATATTTTATTTTTTATTTGTGTGTGTGTACGTGAGACAAGGTCTCACTCTGTCACCCAGGCTAGAGTGCAGTAACGCGATCACAGCTCACTGTAGCCTTGAACTCCTGGGCTCCAATGATCCTCCCACCTCAGCTTCCCAAGTAGCTCAGACCATAGACATGCACCACCACACATGGATAATTTTTTTTAATTTAGTAGAGACAAAGTCTCACTATGTTGCCCAGGCTAGTCTCAAACTCCTGGGATCAAGCAATCCTCCCAACTTGGCTTCCCAAAGTGCTGAGAAGACAGGCATTAGCCACCATGCTGGGCCAGATTTTACTTAAAAAAAATAAAAAAAAAAAAGCTCTTGAACAAAAACAATTTTTTTTTAATTTGGTTTTTAAAAAACAAAATCAAGGGCTAGGCATGGTGGTTCACGCCTGTAATCCCAACACTCTGGGAGGCTGAGGCAGGTGGATCACCTGAGGTCAGGAGTTGGAGACCAGCCTGGCCAACATGGTGAAACCCCATCTCTACTAAAAAATACCAAAATTAGCCAGGCATGGTGGCGGGCCCCTGTTATCCCAGCTACTAGGGAGGCTGAGGCAGGAGAATCACTTGAACTCGGGAGGCGGAGGTTGCAGTGAGCTGAGATCGCGCCATCGCACTCCAGCCTGGGCAACAGAGCAAGACTCCGTCTCAAAAAAAAAAAAAAATCAATAAGAGCTCCTTTCTTATTTGCTCTTCAACTCTAATTCACAGAGTTGTCAAATTACAACTTCAAAGTCAAGCTGATGTCTTAGAGCCAAGGTTCATCAAGTTAAGAGGTTCTAACTCATATGTAAATGGACAAAATCAGAATTACACAGTAGGGGGAAAAAATGTTGCCCTGAAATTGAAGCTGCCTTTATATAAGCAGCCCATAAAAATGGAGAGTACTCATAACAGGCTTAGTTTAGGAACAGAACTGACTAAGGAGATTTAGGCACAGACTTTTCATTAACTCCAATTCAGTTTCACAATGCTCAGTTTTGCATCGATTCAGGTCTTTGGAGAAATCAATTTTTGTGATACTATTAATACATTAAAAGGATTATAACATTCCTTCCCCAGACGTATATCCATGAAAAGGTATGATTTAAAGATTTGAGATGTCTGGAAAGCAAGGACTTTTGGATTCTGATCCAGACTTTTAAACTGGGGCCTTCAAAGTTGTGACTTGACATTTTCATTATTATAAAGTAGGAATTAGGGTAGATCCTATGTTAAGTGTTCTTATCACAATAATAATAATTATAATAAATAAGACAGAAGAAAACTTTTGGAGGTGATGGATAGGTTTATGGCATAGACTGCTGTGATGGTTTCATGAAGGTACATGTATCTCTAAACTCAGGTTGTACACATTAAATACGTACAGCTTTTTGTAGGGCAATCATACCCCAATAAAATGGCTTTAAAAAAATAAAATAGGGATTAGCAATAGCTATCCATTTTTGCAGATTAGTTCATTGTTTCCAGTACATTTCAAATTCTGTGCAGAGGTACTATCTCCAGAGTTTGCAGGCTTTTACCACTTTTCTACTACATTCCAAATCCAATTGTTTGAAGGCAGAACAGTGAGGTGGTGAAGGGCAAGGACCCCAGAGGCAGCCTTCTAGAGTTCAGATTCCAGCTCCCTCACCTATTAGCTGGGTGACCTCGAGGAAGTTACACAAACCCTTTGTGTTTTGGTCTCCTCGTTAGAAAAATGGGGAATATATTACACCTATGTTGTGGGTTGTCATAAAAGTTAAAGAAGTTTTACAGAAAACACCTAGAATAATGTCTGGTACTTAATAAGTATTATGTAAGTGTTTGTTATTATTATTATTATTACTATTATTTAAATTAAGACTTAATGCAAGACCTCCATGTGGCTTCAACCTGCCTTCCAGCTACATTTCCTCCCACATCATCTGCACTACTTGCTCTGGTCACACCTGACTTCTGGCCTTGTTTTTAGTTTCTGGATTCTAATGTTCTTCCCCAGATCCCCCATCCCATCATACTCCTCAGCATCCAAGGGCCCCAAAAACCACATCTGCCATTTCACCACCATCCCAGCCGGCTCAAGTGGTCTGAATGTAATACTCCCTCCTCTGGAACTATGATTTTCTTTTAACGTTTCACATCTATTACCAGATTTCAATTTAGCTAATGTCATACCTGGTGATATTCGTGCCCCTCTCCTTGTTCAACTGTTGGGACACAGTGGTTGAGAGCATAAGCTGTGGAGCCAGCCTGCCTGAGTTTCCACCTTGCTGTGCCACTTACTCAGTGACCCTGGGGGAGGCCCTTCATTTCCCTGCCCCTCAGTTTTCACATCCACAAATTAAGGCCTGGAAAAGTTTCTATACCTCTTAGCATTGCTGTAAAAATTTTTTAAAGTTAATACTGAGAAAACAGAGTAGCACCTGATGCATATAAAAATGCAAATGAATGTTAAATATTATTTTCGAATTGTTATCCTCTTATCACCACTTCATAGTATATGTCCAGCACATGCCCTATGAGGAGAAAATACTCAATAAATGCTTATTGAACTAAACTGAGGTTGTACTGACAAAATCCTGGCTATACCCATCACCTTACCAAGAAGAATCTAACTTGATAATTAGGAATAATTAAATCTACATTTGCCTAAGCAAATGAGGCAGTGGAGGATTTGTATAACACAGCAGCCCAGAAAACACGGTCCCAGGTCTGATGGACTTACCACACCCTCCATCTTCTTCCACAGTGCTTCCAGTTGAGCCATGGGTTGACACCACCAGTCAGTGCACTTTCTGTATCGATTGCCTTGAAACCAAAACTGCCTCAGCCACTCAAACTCGACCTGTGGACCATAAAGAGAAGATGGTGGTTTTAATACCCTTGTGATAGACAAGCGAGGACAATGACTTCGTCTCTTAATTCTCCTCCAGTAACTTGATGGCCATAGGATGAGAAAAGGTGAGAAAGGTCAGCCTAACCAGTTCCCAGTGTAAGCTGGCATCTCCAGAGCATATCTGCAAAGCTAAGAAAAGAGTAGTCTTAAAACTGAGGTCTGGCCAGACGTGTTGGTTCATGCCTATAATCCTAATAGATTGGCAGGCTGAGACGTGAGGATCTCTTGAGGCCAGGAGTTTAAGCCCAGCCTGGGCAACATTGCAAGATGCTGTCTCTACAAAACAATTAAAAATAAATTGGCCAAGCTACTAATAAAACAATTAAAAATAAATTGGCCAAGCTACTAATAAATTGGCCAATTTATTTTTATTTTTAATAATAAATTGGCCAATTTATTTTTATTTTTAAAAATAAATTGGCAGTGGTGTGTGCTGGTCGTCCTGGCTGCTTGGGAGGCTGAGGCAAGAGGATTCCCTGAGCCTAGGAGTTTGAGGCTGCAGTGAGCTATAATTGTGCCACTGCATTCCAGCCTGGGCAACAGAGCAAGAGTCTCTGTGTCAAAATAAAATAAAATAAAACAATTAAAAAGCTGAAATTCTCTTACACAACCCAGCTCACGCCAGAGAGGGGTTTTCAAACACATTTATTAGTCAGATGTGAGGAAACTATAAGTCAATCAACAACAAATACTGAGATCCTAATTATAAAGCAGGCTGTACTATGTTTGATGGGAAAGGCATAAACTGAATACGTTTTTATTAAATGTCTTTATTTAAGGCTGGTATTACAAGCAAAACACCAATATATATTAGGAAATATTAATTATAAGTTTCTTAAATTACAATAAATTAAAATAACTTACCCATGGGCCAGGAGGAGCTGGTGATAATCTTAACCTATATATATAAAACTAATTATGGAGGCATACATTAAACCGACAAAGCCATTCAAATTGTCACTTGTCAACTCAGGGCAGGTGACAATAGGTTAAAAACAAGAGTAGCAATCATATTAGTACAAGCTGAATATCTCTTATCTGAAATGCTTGAGACCAAAAGTATTTCTGATTTTAGAATATTTGTGTTATATACTTATTGGCCAAGCATTTCAAATCCAAAATCTGAAATGCTCCAATAAACATTTCCTTTGAGCATCATGTTTATGCTCAAAAAGCCTTGAATATTGGAGCACCTCAGATTTCAGATTTTCAGATCAGAAATACTCAAGTAACTTGACTTTCCTTCCGATGAATCTACTATGGTAAACTTCAACTGTTTGCCACCTTGGCAGTCCTCCTATTCCAGACAAATCCCACCCATCCCTTCCCCCAAACAGCCCATGTGGTCTGAGGAGGCTCCAGCTCCAATGCCAGGGGTGGAATATGCAACCCAGGTCTAAGCCAATCAGCCCACTAGATTCTCTAGTCACAGAACTAGGATTGAGAGGAATAGGAATATGTCCCATCAGAATGAGTCTCAAGACTATCAGAAACTACAGGAAGAAGACTCTGCAGCTATTTTGCCAGCAATGGGAAGAATGGAGCCAACATAGTAGGGGTAGCTGCAAGATGAAAAGACAAAAACCACATCCTGATGACATCAACTGACCCTTGATCGAACTATTCCTGAAGCTGTTCTTACTTAAGCTAGTTCAGGTTGAACGTTTTGCCCCTTGCAACTAAAATAATCCCAACATATTTAGATGAGAGGCTGAGTTAACCTATGGAAATATATAAAATTGTTTTCTATCCATTTTCTAAGTCTTCTATCATTCATCAACTTGAAAATCAAGGTACAATGCTACCGATCTTAAATACTCTTTTTACCACTGCCCGCTAAAGAAACGTGGAGCCACCACAGCTTCAGGCTGGATTGTCTGGCTTTGCTAAGGTGATCATGTTCCATATATAGACATGGAGCTATTATAATCTTCACCTGTTACCGCAAAGAATTTTTTTGTGTGTTTATCCATATTGAACTTTCATGAGGCAAACAAAAGCAACTTGTGAAGATTTAACGATGGTGGAAATGGCTCAAATAAGTAACCTGAGAATACCAAGTTGTATGAAAAGGTTTTAGTTTACATTAACTAAATGTTTGTTTGCTATGTAGGACTGATTTCAGTTAAAGTTGTTTAAACAAAACAAAACAAAACAAAAAAGGAATGTAGACAATATTAAAACAACAGTTGCTAAAACTTATCTGTGCTATTAAAAGACAGTGGTTAACAGATGTAACCTTGAGTACTTTGAAAGAAGAATTAATACAAGTGTGGTTCAACTTCTGTGAAGATACTGGTTTAACAACATACTTACTTCAAGAAAAAAATGAGTTCTTTTTGATGGATTTCACATAAAATTTGTTCACACTATGGAAAGAGCCTGTTAGCAAAACATCAAGCCCTATGTTAGAAAGAGTTGAAAAGGTTTAAAAGATTTTCCAGTCTTTGGGCTGGTTATGCCTGTTGAAGAGGACAGAATGGATAAGGCTCGCCAACCATGGTGACTCTGGAAATAGATTATCATATGTAATTAGTTTATCCAGTCTATCAGGGTACACTAGAAACTGGATTTCAGTAAATTAAAACTTGGAAGCAAGGAGAAGGCTATATCTAGGGGCTCTGCTATTGGACAAGAGAGCAAAGAGAGAGCCCTGGCTATTTTAATAAATAATGCCTTCATCTTCCCTTGGATGCCCAACCATGTTTTGAGGCAGATAGTATCATGGTTAAAAATAAGGGCTCTGACCTATAATCCCAGCACTTTAAGAGGCCATGGCAGGAGAATCACTTGAGCCCAGGAGTTTGAAACTAGCCTGGGCAACATAGTGAGACCTCATCTCTACAAAATAAACAAATAAACAAAGTTAGATGGTTGTGGTGGCACGCGCCTGTGCTCCCAGCTACTTAGATGGCTGAGGCAGGAGGATCACTTGAGCCAGGAGGTCCAGGCTGCAGTGAGCCATGATCGCGCCACTAAACTCCAGTCTGGGCAACACAGTGAGGCCATGTCTCTAAAAGAAAAAAGGAATATGGGTTCTGGAGTCAGTTCAAAAGTGGGTACCACTACAGAATAGCTATGTCATCTGTAAGACAGAAACAATTACTGCCTACTATCTGTTAGGCACTTGCTAGATGTCAAGAATGCATACTAAACAAGACCACAAGGCTTTGGACTTCCTGTCCTCAAGCATCTCACAATCTTACCAATTTTCTGACCAGGAAAAGTTTTAATGTCCTTGTCAATTCATGCCCACCCTTTCCCACTAATGCCAGTCAGAAACGTTCAACAGCACTGAAGACCTTCTCCCAACACAATTTTATTCATGAGTTGAAGTACTGCCCATGAGATACAATCTCTGGACATCAAGTCCACTGGCATGCCTTCTATTCAACTCCATGACCTGACTTTTTCATTTCAATGTTGTGGGTAAAAACTATTACAGGATTTTAATCAAATGCCACGTTTACCAGTTTCCCCACTGCCAAGAGAAAGAAGTAGCTGACTCTCTCCTTAAACTTAATTAAGAAGGCAAAAAAAATCTCCACCTGCTTGATTCAGAGTCTGAGGTAATAAACTCTGGAAATTAGGAAGGAAAGCTACAGCATGGACACTGCACAAAACCAAAGAGTCAGAACGCAAAATACAGTGAGTCCTTATTACTTTGGGGCTAAAAAACCAAACAAACATCAATGTCTAACCATATTGACTGACTGATGAAGTGGTAACCATGACAGGAGTTGGGTCTTCCTCCCTTCTCCAGAGTTGTAGGCCGCCAAAGGATGCTCATAGCTAACACAGCAGAAATAAGAGGCAAGCCGTCAGGAGGACAAATGCTGACTTGGGGCCAAGGAACATTCCACGGGTGACACATCCCTGAAGACCTCAATAGCAGGGAAACAACCTGCAGGAGCTCTCAGGGTTCTCTCAAAGTTTTCATGATACTTACAAACCAAACTCCCTGATTTTGAACATGCACTTAATGGAAATAAGCCTAGAAGAGGAGAAAGAAATGGAATCAACCCACATATCTGGACTTCAGTCATTGGGCACTTAGGCATTGGAGAGCAAAGCTAATAAGACTTCAAAAGAATATTTCTGAGCCACTTTATCACCATATAGTTGTAAATCATATCCATCATTCCAACGGGTCAGCAAACGTCACCTACTTTTCTTCTACCAAGTTTATTTAGGCTCTTGATTTGGTCCCAAGTCAGCCATAGAGCTCCCTTATGAGATGTGTGACTGCGCCCCTTGGGATTAATGTCTCACTGTAATAACGGAAAGAAGTTACTTCACTGAGAAAGAAATTAGACCAGGAAGACATGGTAAGGCTCTGCCTACAAAGAGATACCCTATGAAGGCCCTTTTGCAGTAGTTATAAGGAAGCCACAGGTCTGATCAGAAGAAAATGAGAGCCAAACAATACCATCAAACATTCCATTCTTCTAGGGGACATTTACTAAGAGAAGAGGCTGAATTCCACATTTTACTATCTTTAAAAAGGAAAGTGGGCCATTTAATAACATGGAAGAAGATTCTGCTTATAATTAAACAAGAACCTTTCCTAAGCATCTTAAATTGGAAAAACTATCTCCCATAAGGTACTCCAAAACATATGCCCAAACTTCCGAAACTGCTTAGTTAGAAACCATCCTAGACAAGGAAAACAAACCACTTTTCAACCCACACAGACTGAGAGCTTGCAGTATGTAAAACCAAGGGCTTCATCCTGTGATTTGTCCAGAAAAGACACATGGCCTTGCAGAAAGAGGCAAGCAAGAAAGAAACTGGGAGAACTCTTACAGACACGTGGGCTTTCATTGAACAACAGGACAAAGTAGAGAGCGAGCATGCAACTGCTAAATCCCAGGCCAACTTGTATGGCAAAAGAACAATATCTGACAATGTGCCCTGACATATGGAATTAATTGTGAAAGTAAGGAGATGACCTTGAAGAATCAGAGATTGGGGGGATGGTGAAGACTGGCACACACGCTATTTAAATTCAAGATCAATCTCTCTATTCAACCCCAGGGGGCCGAGGTTTCTGATACAGTACATCTCTGCCCCACCTCCCTAACACATAATATCAAAAGCAGCCAGTCACTTTCTGAAGCAGACAAATTTGTTTTTTTTTTTTTGTTTTTTTTTTTTTGAGATAGAGTTTCGCCCTTGTTGCCCAGGCTGGAGTGCAATGGCACAATCTCGGCTCACTGCAACTTCTGCCTCCCGGGTTCAAGCGATTCTCCTGCCTCAGCCTCCCAAGTAGCTGGGATTACAGGCGCCCGCCACCACACCTGGCTAACTTTTTGTATTTTTAGTAGAAACGGGGTTTCACCATGTTGGCCAGGCTGGTCTCGAACTCCTGACCTCAGGTGATCCACCGCCTCGGCCTCCCAAAGTGCTGGGATTACACGCGTGAGCCACCGCACCCAGCCTGAAGCAGACAGACTTAGATGACGATATTCTGTTATATACACAGTGTGATTTTACAGATTTCTCCCATCCATTGATGGTAAAAAACATCACAGTCAGTCACAAGAGATGAGAAAGGATAGGGAAATACAACAGCCCATATGCATGTTAAAGAAAGCACCCATTCTGCTAGTCTGACACTGAAAATTGTGAGATTTTTTGCGAAGGAAATAACTACATTTTGAGATTAGAATTTCTATACTATAAATATGGAGAAAGACATAACTTTGCTCTAATTCAGGGAGGTCATCAGGCCCATAAATGTATTCTTTCCTGAAGTTCTGGCTATCAGCAATGTCTCCAGCAGGGACTAATAAGAGAGAAAGTAGAACACCCATCAGGCACAATGAAGGGCAGCAAGTCAGACTTGAGCTCAGCATCAAAAGTGGTTACTACTCCCCTGAAAGGCAGAATTGCTTCCCCTGTGGTTCTGGAGATTATGACAATGTTTCACAAAGTGTGGAGCAGCTCACAAGATATTAAATAACTTATAAAGGCATTGAAAAGATATTATATGTTGCCATGGGAGACGACATTATTTCTCCTTTTGCTCAAAACTCTTCAATGGGTCCCCATTTCCTGCAGAGTAAAAAGGAAAGGCCTTGTCCTTACAAGGGCCTCCAAGGACCTATACAATCTGCTGCTCCCCAGTCTCATGGAACTACCTCTATGACCTCTTCTCCTACAAGTAGCAGCCTTACTCCCTTCACTCAAACATACTGTTCCTGGACTGTTCCACGGACTCCAGGCATTCCCCCACCACACAGCCTTTGCAGTGGCTGCTCCTTATGCCCAAAATGCAATTCCCCAGATATCCACATGGCTGTTTCTCATGTCCTTCAATTCTCTGCTCAAAGGACATCTTTTCAACAGGGAGGCTCTCTAGTTCTCTCAATTTCTATCATCTTGCTCTGTTTTTTTTTTTTTTTCCTGTAGCACTTATCAACTTCTAACATACTGTATAATTTACCAGTGTGTTAAGTGTATTACTTACCATCATCTCCCTGTACTAGAATGTCTATTTTATTTACCAATATATTCTAAAGCGCCCAGAAGAGTGTCTGGCACGTGCTCAGTAATTAATTATAGAAAGGATGCATGAGAACATTTTTTAACTCCAAATTCCCCATCAATCCTTCTTATTATATCAAAAAGAAAGTCTCAGATTGGTGAATGAACTTCAGTTCTCAACCACATTTTAGTGTCTCCTTTTTTTCTTTTAATGGTTTTTTTTGAGGTATAATTTATCAGCCATAAAATTCACACATTGTAAGTGCAGAATCCAATAATTATTAGAAAATGTATAAAGCTGTGCAACCATTACCACTAATCTCCCTTCTTAACATGAAGAAAGGAAACTTGAGGCTCAGAGCCTCCTCCAGACAAGAATATCTGCTGGAATGTAATAACATTACTCTGTTTTCATTGGATCTATTTTTCTGGATACTTTTTCTTTTGGCTAATGATACTGGATTTCCACTTAAAGTAGCAATATAAAGCTCCCTTTTTAAAGAAATGTATACATGTTAAAAAAGAGTTGATTTAAAGTAAAATATTAAGTAACTAAACAATGTATGTAGTCCAAAGATAAAGCAAATATTGAGAGGGTATTAGTGGGAAAAGTAGAGTTTGCGAAACTTTGACCCATGGGATCCAGACCTGCTGGTCTCACAGACTGCAGAATTGCAACTGATTTCATCAGTGAAAAGCAAGGCAGTGACACTTGCTCCCAGGGCCTACCCTCAATTCCCAGCAGTCTTTGCTGGGAGACTATTCTTCATGAGTCTCTTGTGCTTCTGCGTGTCTTGTGAGTAAGCAATGACTGTCCTGTGTTACAGACTCTCATTGCAAGGATGTTTACATAGCAACAACCTTGACAGAGAGAGTTTCTCCCTCTAGAACAAAGGGCAGGTGTGCATATAGGCTTGGAAGATGAAGACAGTGTCTTGACCTACAGCAAAAGACAGGCATGCTTACTATCCTTTGAAAAAGACTAGGTTCCCATAGCTCATGGTTCCTCTCCTATAATGTAACTCCTCAATATGTACATGTTATCTAGCCTCCTTTGCATTGCCCTATAGAAACAGAAGCTGGGAGAATGCTATGGTCTGTATGTGTATGTCCCTCCAAAATTCTTTTTTATTTTATTTTTATTTATTTATTTATTTATTTATTTATTTTGAGACGGAGTCTCACTCTGTTGCCCAGGCTGGAGTGCAGTCACGCGATCTTGGCTCACTGCAAGCTCCGCCTCGCAGGTTCATGCCATTCTCCTGCTTCAGCCTCCCGAGTAACTGGTACTACAGGCACCCGCCACCATGCCCAGCTAATTTTTTGTATTTTTTTTTTTTTTTTTTTTTTTTTTAGTAGAGACGGGGTTTCACTGTGTTAGCCAGGATGGTCTCGATCTTTTGATCGTGATCCGCCTGCCTCAGCCTCCCAAAGTGCTGGGATTATAGGCGTGAGCCACCACACCCGGCCATGTCCCTCCAAAATTCTTATGTTGAAATCCTAACATCCGAGGCAATGGCATTAAGAGGTGGGGCTTTTCAGAGGTGAGAGATCACGAAGCTCTGCTTTCATAAAAGACTTTAGTAGCCTTATAAAAGAGACCACAGGGAGCTTGCCTGGCCCTTGCACCGTCTAAGGAAAGTGAGAGGGTGCCATCTATGAATCACGAAACAAGTCTTCAGCAGACATCAAATCTTGAACTTGATGCCATCTGATCTTGAACTTGCTACCTTCCAGAACAGTGAGGATAAATTTCTGTTGTTTAGAAGCAACTTGGTTTATGCAATTTTGTTACTGCAGCCTGAACAGAATAAGTTCGTGAACTAACACAAAAATACGGAGACTCTGGTGACTGCTATTGATATACGTAATAACCTGTCCTCCATCTGTGACCTAAGAGTCTCACGTCTTATAACAATATGAAATTGTGGCAGATTAACTTGTTAGCTTGCAAGTAGGGTAGAATCTCAGATCTTTCACAATTCTTGAAAGTCTTGCCAGGCACAGTGGCTCATGACTGTAATCCCAGCACTTCAGGAGGCTGAGGCGGGCAGATCACTTGAGGTCAGGAGTTCGAGACCAGCCTGGCCAACGTGGTGAAACCTCGTCTCTACTAAAAATATCAAAATCAGCCAGGAGTGGTGGCGCATGCACCTGTAGTCCCACCTATTCGGGAGCTTGAGACAGGAGGATCACTTGAACCTGGGAGATGGAGGTTGTAGTGAGCCGAGGTCATGCCGCTGCACTCCAGCCTGGGTGACAGAGCGAGACTCCATCTCAAAAAAAAAAAAAGAAAGTCCTTACCTCATTATGAATTTCTTCTCCTTGTTTCAAAACTGCAGGCTCAAAGGATTTCAAAGAGACATCATCATTGTCCACATCGTCACAGACATTCTGCAGAGCCAACTGACAGCGTTGTAAAATATAATCCAAGGTTCCTGTTGAGCACTGTTGAGACAGAACCAGCAATCACAATTATGGGCAAAATCTAAGTTTACTCTACCATCCTTCCTAGGATTGTTCATATTTGTCCCTGGCTGTGAATTCACCTGTTGCCCCATGGCTCAGTCTATACTCCTTTTTTTTTTTTTTTTTTTTTTAATTTTGAGATAGGGTCTTGCTGTGTCACCCAAGCTGGAGTATAGTGGTGTAATAATGTTTCACTGCAGCCTCAACCTCTGGGGCTCATGCAATCCTCCCACCTCACCTTCCTGAATAGCTGGTACCACAGGCAGGCACTACTCTGCCCAGCTAATTTTTCTAAATTTTTATTTTGTAGAGAGAGACAGGATCTTGCTATATTATCCAAGCTGGTCTCAAACTCCTGGGTTCAGGCAGTCCTCCCACTTCAGCCTCCAAAAGTGCTGGGATTACAGGTGTGAGTCACTGTGCCCGGCCTATACTCACGAACTCAAGAATTACTAGAGTGGCCTGTTCCACTGGGCTCTGTGCTGCCAGTTTGGCCTCACTTGGGCCACTTAGTTTGCTGGTTTTCTTTTACGTGGGCCTCATATCTCTAACTAAACATTTGGGTCCCGGAGGCTAACGCCCTATTTATATATGTTAAATACATTTTCTATATATACTACAACATCTAGAACTGAGTCTGAAAACTGGAAGAAATTTAATAAATAATTATTGGATGAATAACTGGTTAACCAAGAAGTCAAGGACACTGACTTTTTATCTCAAATGCCCTGAGACTAAAGATAGGAAAGAAAGGTAACCAGGCTGCAAAGCTGGTTCAAAAGCACAATAAATGGTTCTATAATGACAGCGGGGAAAAATGCAGTTATAATCACAAGGCAAAGAACTCATTTCTCTTTTCTGCAAAAAGCATACACTAGGCAGTGGCAGTCCTTGGCAGAATAGATTCTTCAAATAATGGAGAATATTTGGCTTAAGCCCTCAAGGCACATTCAAAGGCATAACTTAGTACCTGGGCCTCAGCAAGGACACAGATAACTAGTTCATCCCTCTCTGAGTCCGTGGGAGCAAAACAGAGGTCAAATGGACAAACTCCTTTTTATAAATGATCATATGTTGGAAAAGAGGCCAATGCACATGGGCAGTGCATCTGCCTGTTTTGATATTAAAATGATTTCCTAGAATAATAAAAAGTCAGCTATAAATACCCTTCAGTCCCAATGAGGAAAATGTATCCCTAAAATATTTTGGTTTTATTATTTATAATTTAAACTGAGCCCTTGTAAATAACCTTGAAGGCTAATCCTCTGATATAAAATTTCCTTGCACATTTACTGCCATTTTATACAATGCGACATCAACAAGCCTGGGAAAAACAAAGTTTCTGTGCCAAGAAACAGAAGCTTGACTAAAATGTATTTTAATATGAAGATCCCAGAGTGCTGGGTGCATAAGGGCAGGCAGCTCCAATTTCCTGCCAAAAAAAACCCCACAAAGAATAAAGGTGAATGACCACTCATTTTTGTCCCACAGCAACCTCTACAACAACACTTTTTTTTTTTGAGACGGGGTCTCACTCTCTGGCCCAGACCAGAGTACAGTGGCGTGGCATGATCTTGGCTCACCGCAACCTCTGCCTCCTAGGCTCAAGCAATTCTCCTGCCTCAGCCTCCCAAGTAGCTGGGATTAAAGATGTGCACCACCACGCCCAGCTAATTTTTGTATTTTTAGTAGAGACTGGTTTTACCATATTGGACAGGCTGGTCTCGAACTCCTGACCTCAAGTGATCCACCCCCCTCAGCCTCCCAAAGTGCTGGGATTACAGGCATGAGCCACTGCACCCAGCCTACAACATCTTTTTAAAATGACTTCTATCTAGAAAGTTTCCCTACTTGCACCTTTACTTTCCCAAGTATGGAGTGAGCTACATAGGTTATTAATTGCATTTTCATGCAAGATTAGAAACAACCTAAATTTCTTAACAATAGGAAAACTAGTTTAATGACGTATGGTTGCAGAAAACAAAAAGAGAGAGGGGTGGGATGTGGAATAATTTTTTTCTGGATGTATAGTGTTTTGTTTTATGTAAATAATCTATAATCAGGCCTAGTTTGAGATAGGTTTTTTTTTTTTGGTAACAGCTTTATTGAGCTATAATTCACGTCATAAAATTCAAGCATTTAAAGCATATAATGCAATGTTGTTTCGTATAGTCACAGAGTTATACAAATATCACTACAATTAATTTTAGAGCATTTTCATCACCCCAAAAAGAAACCCTGTGCCATTTGGCAGTCACCCCCAACCCCAACTGATTTCTACCAACATTTCCAACCCTAGGCAACCACTAATCTACTTTCTATGTCCATAGAGAGACCTATTCTAGACACTTCATATAAATGAATTATATAATATGTATCTTTTGTGACTGGTTGCTTCCATTTCGTATGTTTTCAAGAGTTATTCATGTTGTAGCATGCATCATTACTGTATTCCATTTCAATGCCCAATAATATTCAACTGTATGGATATGCCACGTTTTATTTATCCATTCATTAAGTGATGAACCTTTGGGTTGTTTCCACTTTTTGGTGATTATGAACATTCCTGTAGAAGTTTCCATCACTCTTGGGAAACTACCTAGGCATGGAATTGCTGTGTCATAGGGTACCTTTGGATTTAACCTTCTGAAGATGTGCCAGACTGTTTCCCAAAGTGGCTGCACCACTGTCCATTCCCTCTGGCAGTGCACATGGGTGCCACTTCCTGCATGTCCTCACCAACACTTGTCACTGTCTTTTTTATTCTAGCTATCCTAGTGAGTGTGAAATGTTATCCCGTCGTGGTTTTGATTTGTATTTCCCTAGTGACTAATGACGTTCAGCATTTTTCATTTGTCTATTGGCCATTTGTATACCTTCTTTTTGTGTGTGTGTGAAGACGGAGTCTTGCTCTATTGCTCAGGCTGGAGTGCAGTGGTGCAATCTTGCCTCACTGCAACCTCCACCTCCCAGGTTTAAGCGATTCTCCTGCCTCAGCCTGCTGAATAGCTGGGATTACAGGCATGTGGCACCACACCTGGCTAATTTTTGAATTTTTAGTAAAGACGGGGTTTTACCATGTTGGCCAGGCTGGTCTTGAACTCCTGGCCTCAAGTGATCCACTCACCTCGGCCTCCTAAAGTGCTGGGATTACAGGCATGAGCCACTGCACCCAGCCTGTGACATGTTAATTCGATTCCTTTGCCATTTTAAATTGGATCATTTCTCTTTTGAATTATTGAGTTCTAAGAATTCTTGGAATATTTGAGACACAAGTGCTTTATGAGATATATGATTTGCAGATATTTTCTCCCATTCCATGGGTCCTCTACACTTTCTTTATGGTACCCTTTGAAGTACAAAAGTTTTTAACTTTGATGAAGGCCAATTTATCTGTTTTTTTCTTCAGTTGTTTATGCTTTTGATGTCATATCTAAAAAGCCATTACCTACTCCTCGCTAAGTGCTATATATTGATGAGTAATTATTACCAAAGTTTACTGAAACAAAACTACAGAACCATATATATAGTAGGCTACCATTTATATTTAAAAATATTTTTGAAATTACATACATTTTTACTTATATATTAAATATCACCAAAAGAGTAACAAGAACCTTTAAACATTGGTTGCCTCTGGGAATGAGGGGCTGGTTGGCCTGAGGAGAAAGAGACTTTAACTGTATACCTTTAGGTATTTTTTTTAATTTTGAACCATTTGCATTAACTACCTATTCAAAATATAATTATTCATAAAATGTAAATTTCTTTAAAAAGACATTCTGTATTGAATCCCAAGAATATTCTGACACAATTATCAAAAACTAAAATCTAGGCCGGGAGCATTGGCTCACGCCTGTAATCCCAGCACTTTGGGAGGCCGAGGTGGGTGGATCGACTGAGGTCAGGAGTTCAAGACCAGCCTGGCCAATATGGCAAAGCCCCATCTCCATTAAAAATACAAAATTTAGCCGGGCTATCTGCTACATTCTATTCTGCACTGTACATACTCTTTAGACCATAAGCATCTTGAAGACACTGAATATAACCATTCCTGTTCACAAGTCCCTACAAGAATACCTTGAACACTATAAAGTTCAATAAAAGTTTGAAGAGAGAACAAACTGAAATCCCTTCTGAATAGTAGTTCCTACAATCAAAACTTGCTGATGATTTAATCTCTCTTGCTTTATTATGTACACTGTAGTGTACAAATGAAGACAGAATAACCTTCCACACAGTGAACTTTAGTTGTTCCCATCTCCTATTAGTTTTTCAACAGAATAAAATGAAAAGACAGTAGTAGCAGTAGAAGTAATTTAATAATAGTAGTGGCAAACTTCTTTGAATGTATACCAGTCACTGTTCTAAAAAGACTTACATGTATTAACTAATTTAATCCTCATAAGAACACTACGATTAGGTACGATTCTTATCCCCATGAACATATTTCCCAAGCTTTTTATTTATCATTTTGTACAGCCCTTTGAACCCAGCACTAATGAGACTGTCCACTCTTCTGGATTAGATTAGGAAAGACGTAGAAGGGCGCACTTAAGTAGCCATATACTCAAGTGATCCACAAGAAAGGGATTCTTAGGAGGGTTATAGCTAGAAAGACAGATGCCTATAACTGGGGAAATGAAATCCTTGTGTATAATACAAGGCACATATTAGATGCTCTATAAATACTTGCTCCTCCCTTCCTCCCTCCCTCTCTTCCTTCCTCCCTCCCTCCCTTCTTTTCTTCCTCTGTTCGTCCTTACCTACCTTCCTCCCTCGCTTCCCTCTTTTCTAACAGAACTCCCTTTAGGTCTCTAAGACAATTATTTCTGTGTTTATTTGTTTAAAATTTGTCCCCCCCAACTAAAGTTCACAAAAGTGGTGGGCATCATGGGCATGTTGACGGCTCTATCTCCCAGGCCTACAGTTTTGGACACATAACAGGCACTCAAATATTTAAATGAATGAGTGAATGGAAAAGAGAAGAAAGGGGAGAAAGGAAGAAAGAGGTGCTGGATGGGCTTGCTGGCATCTTGGTTTAAATACTCATTCATTCTCTCTCTGCCACACAGCAATATGATCGTTCCACTGGTAAAGCTACTTAATGACCAAAAGACACAACACTGCCGTATAGACTCACGCAGTACTGCCACTGGAAGACCTTGCACCTGTACCTCTCACTTTGTTGTACCACTTCCGCCCAATTTTCTCACACTTGTCCCCTGTAGTTCCATGAAAGGTCAAGCTATAAAGCAAAGCATGGATAGCAAGCTTAGGTAGAAGGTCACTTGTAATCCCTTTCATGCCTTGCTCTCTGGAACCCCTCTTAACTGAGTACATGGGACCCCAACATGACTAATATGAGTTTTTCTCATTTCTTAGTTTTCCATTCTGAACTAGTCTGAACAGCTAACCATGGGCCATTGCAAGTGGTGGCAGAATTTAGCAATAAAGTCTGGGTTATGAACACAACTGTGGAGCTCAGAAACTCCTTGGCAACCCTGTAACTTTCTCTTTACATTCACATGCCCAGAAGTCTGACCAAAAAGTTAAGGGAAATGAAAATTCTCAACATCTGAACCCAGCCACAGCTAACACATGCACAAGCATAAAAATCTGCCCCAATTCTTCTGGTCATCTCCTGCCCTTGACCTTGACAGATACAACCCTCTAAATAAACCTCTAACTATAAACACTTGTCAACGGCATTTTCCTTCTCCAAGAAACATAACCCCAAGAAGCAAAACACACTTATCCCATGGCATGAATATGCTTTCTAAAACTGTATCCAACACAATCCAAAGCTCAAAAAGCAAGTAAACAGAGACGAAAGTCAAGTTAGATGGAAGCAATTTTCCCATCAAATACTCTTCCAAAGCTCTATAGTAAATTGCTCATTCAACCACTTCTGTCACATCCAATTAGGTGTGAATCACATTTTTATTTACACTTACCTCTGCCACTCGGTGGGTGGAACTAAACCGAGGTTGTGAACCGGCCAAAACACAGTGTTGGTGGGTGGCATTGAGATCATCTACAGGAAAAACACCAGAAATGTATAAAACCATATTTATTAGTCAGTATATACTATATATTATTTAACTAAAACACAAAGTAAACAGTAAATCTATCTTCCAAGAAATAACAATAACCAAGGAATCAATACTTACCTTGTATTCTTTAATCAATCCCTTATAAGTAGGTGACTACATATATATATATTCCATTATATGCGTATCTACTTATAAGTAGACATTATATATATGTAGATACATAACAAGTATAATAATATAAATATAAGTATACAATAAATATGATATACTTATATATACTTATACATATGCAAGTATATATAAGTAGATATATATAATCATATGTATATAACTAAATATGTATATATTCTATCATACAAAGTATGACACTTTGAAGAGTGAAAGGGGATGCTATTAACAATTATTCCAGAACAACAAGTATAAACCAGGACTGTCCTCAGCAAATGAGATATAGGGTCACTCTACTTATTTGTGGTCCTATTATGCCCACCCACTATAAAATTCACTATATATGAATTGAGCTTCTTTCACTTTCTCATGACACATCTACTTCTACCCTTATCTTTAGAATAAACCAGAATTTGGAGTTGCACACCTTTCATCTGAAAAATCTGCCTCTTTCCCTCCATAATCAAAGTATCAATTTTGCCCTAACAATTTTCCAGGCAATAAACCAACCAACTCAGCATGTTGCATGTTTGGCTCTTAGAACAGAACTCAAGTGTAGGGATTCACAACCCAAGAATGAAGTAGGTGGTGAATTCATCAGTTGAAGAATATTCCTAAAACCACAAGCAGTGGGAGAAAAACCAATGACCAAGTTGTTATATATCCTAAGAAATGATACCACAAGTCAGGCAAAATCTATACAACCTCTGCTCAGGACATGACTTCCTCTATTACAAAAAAAGAGAGTTGTAATGTTTCCAGCAATGGCATCCTATACAGGCAACACAAGATTTTTATCAAGATACCAAAAAAGATAATGACTTAAACCAAGAGGCAAATGCCACCAGGCCCCTTATGTATCAGCAAAAACAACCTACAATATCATCTCTAAACATAGAAAAGAAATGCAAGATATTAAGACAGGATTTCTGCTTATGAATATTGTGAAGTAACAGTGACAAGATTTACCCTTCTGTCTTAAACAACTACAAAACAAGCCAAAAATATGAATCAAAGGTTTCAGCAAGATATAATCCCATGGAGAAGAGAAACAAAATAGGTGAGAGATGCCTACAATTGCCCTAACTTACTCCATGGAAACAGTTTCAATGCCACAGAATAGAGAAGAGGAAGTCAAAACCCAGAGTCTCTGTTTCTTTCTTGCCAAGTTGAGAAGACAAAGACTGGAGTATAGGGAGGCCAAGGCCACAGGGCCTCGAAAGGCAGAATGCTGGAACAGAAACAGCTATACAGAGAGACAGCAAACAGACTGCAGGAAGGTTCCCTCAAGTATTTGGAAGAGCACTGACCTGTGCATGTATGAATAAAAATTTCCCAAGGGCCAAAAAAAGAAGCACCAGAATGCAGCAGGTGGAACCAATTTCAGATTTCACACACAGCCAGGAGTATTCTATGATCCCAGCAGCCAAAATGGCTCCCACTACATGAGATACTAGAAAATCCTTAGGAAAGCATCACTGCAGAAGTAGGGCTAAATGAGTCCTAGGTTAAAGGCTGCTCTAGTCCCACCTAGCAAGGCTTAAAACTAAGCCTCAAAAGGATCCAACTTCTGGCCAGGCACAGTGGCTCATGCCTGGAATCTCAGTACTTTGGGAGGCCGAAGTGGGTGGATTACCTGAGGTCAGGAGTTCGAGACCAGCCTGGCCAACATGGTGAAACCCTGTCTCTACTAAAAATACAAAAATTCGCTGGGCATGGTGGCAGGTGCTTGTAATCCCAGCTACTCAGGAGGCTGAGGCAGGAGAATTGCTTGAACACAGGAGGCAGAGGTTGCAGTGAGCCGAGATTGCGCCATTGCACTGCAGCCTGGGAAACGAGAGTGAAACTCCATCTCAAAATTTAAAAAAAAAAAGGATCCAACTTCTTAGTAATTTAATTATTCATTAGAGCAAAAGCCAAAAGTATGTAAAAGTATATAACAAAATCAGGCACCCAACAAATACGATGTGCAATACCCAACATCCATTCAAAAAGTAACAGAGAAATGAAAGATACATACACACACACAAAATATGCGAGGTAGTCACATCTCTCTTTTCTTCTAAATGTACATATCTGCCCTTTCATATATATATATAAGTGAAGCTTCTAAAGGTTAAACATGCAGTATCTGAAACAAAACTCACACTAAGTGAGATGAACAGCAATTTACAAACTGCAGAAGAAAAGATCAGTGAACTAGAACACATGAAAAATAAAAACTATGCAAAATAAAGTGGCTAAACAAAAAAGACTACAAAAATATGAAAGGGCATGAGTGACAGCCAGGACAATATTAAGCCATTTAATGAAAATTTAATTTGAATTCTAGGGAAGAAAGAGTGACAAAAACACACACATTTTTATAGAAACAATGGCCAAAATTCACCAAATTTCATGAAAACTATAAACCCAGAGATCCAATAAGCTCAACGAATTCTAAGCAAAAAAAGATATAAGACTAAACTAAAGCATGTCATAATGAAATGTCTTAAAATCAGTAATAAAGTGGAAAGGTTAAAGGCAGTCAGAAAAAGAGACATTAAATACAGAGGGACAAAGATTAGAATGACAGCAGACTTCTCATCAGAAGTTATAAAACTCAGAAGACAACTGGTGACAAAATACTAAAGGAAAAAACTGTCAATCTACTATTCTATACATAGTGAACACCCTTTCCAAAATAAAAGTGAAATAAAGACTTTTCAGAAAGAAAATGAAACAATTTATATTCAGTAGATTTACACTATAAGAATAGTTATGAAATTCTACAGGCAAAAGAAAAATAATGTCAGAAGGAATTTAGATCTGCTCAAAGGAATAAAAAGTAACATAAGTAACAAATATCATGAAAGAATAAATGCCTTTTTAAATCCAAAATAATAACAATGTATTCTGAGGTTTATAACATATGCAGACGTAAAACACATGAAAAAGCACAAAAGAGGATGGAAGGAAAAGTGGTACAACATTCAAAGTTACATTGTGGTAAATCAAAGATGTAAAGATATTATAAAACCAAGAGCAGTGGCTTTCAATGAGATGTAATTTTGTCATTCCTCACTCTGGAGAGAGAGACACACTGGAAACAGAGATGACAATTTATCAGAGTAAAAAACAAGAAGCAGAAACACACATGGGAACCAGTTCCAGGATAGAAAAACCGTAACTGTAACTACTGAATTGCTGGAGATTCAACGTAGACGGGACTGAGAGTTAAAAAGTCCAGGGGAGCTCCATCTTAGGGAACTCCCACACTTTTGTGAGTTTTATCTCCAAAAGCTCTAACAGGTTCTCACAGTGAAGATCCAAAAACATCTTCTCATGCTTCTGGCAGAAGGAAGGGAAAAAATAGCGACTTTATTTATTTATTTATTTATTTATTTTCTCAGGAGACAGGGTCTCACTTGTCATCCAGGCTGGAGTGTAGTGGCATGAACATACTTCAATGCCACCTAGAACTCCTAGCCCCTGCTAGCCATCCTATTGGAACTAAGAATGAGAAAAAAGAAAATGAGAAGCACTTGTGAGGTTCACAATTCACAGGCATAAACTCACTAAAAGACTGAGGCTTAACCATAAGATTATAGAATGCTTCCCCTCCCAACATACCTTACCACCACATTATTACTGCAGTTCCTCTTATCCAGTGCATCCCATCTGCCTATCAAGAAAAAAGTACAAGGCCTTCTAAATGGCAAAAAAACACAATTTGAAAAAACTGAGCAAAAATCAGACCCAGAGTCAGAAATGGCAGAAATTAATTATCAGAAATGTTTTTGAAACTATGATTACTATTCTAAGGACCCTAAAGGACAACGTAGACGACATGCAAGAACTGATGGGGAACGTAAGCAGAGGGATGGAAATTCTAAGAAAGAATCAAAAACAAAATGCTGGAAATCAATAACACTGTAACACAAATGAAGAATGCCTTTAATGGGCTCATTAGAGAACTGGGCAAGGCAGATGAAAGATCTCTGAGCATGAGGATATATTAAGAGAAACTTCCAAAACTGAAAAGCAAAGAGAAAAAAGACTGAAAAAAAAAAAAAAACAGAACTATGGGACAACTGCAATAGGTGTAATATATGTATAATGGAATAACAGAAGGCGAAGAAAGAGGGAAAGGAACAGAAGAAAATTAGAAGCAATAATAACTAAGAATATTCTTAAATTAATGTTAGACACCAAACTAGAGACTCGGGAAGCTCAGGAAAAAAACCTACACTTAGGCATATTATATTCAAACTGCAGAAAGTCAAAGATAAAGAATATTGAAAAAGCCAGAAGGAAAAAACAGCTTATCTATAACGGAGCAAAAAAAAAGCTATCTGACGTTTCCTCAGAAACGAGGCAAGCAATACAAAAGTGAAGTGAAATACTTAAGGTGTTGAGAGGAAAAAAAAACAGCAACCTAGAATTGTGGATCCTACAAAACTACCCTTTAAAAGTAAAGGAGAAACAGACCAGGTGTGGTGGCTCATGTCTGTAATCCAAGCACTTTGGGAGACCAAGGCAGGTGAATCGCTTGAGGTCAGTAGTTCAAGACCAGCCTGACCAACATGGTAAAACCCTGTCTATACTAAAAATACAAAAATCAGGTGGGCGCAGTGGCACACACCTGTAATCCCAGCTACTTGGGAAGCTGAAGCAGGAAAATCGCTTGAACCCGGGAGGCGGAGGTTGCAGTGAGCCAAGATCACGCCACTGCACTCCAGCCTGGGAGACAGAGTGAAACTCTGTCTCAAAAAAACAAAAAGAAAGAAAGAAAGGATTTTTTAAAAAAATGTTTCAGACAAATAAAAATTCAGGGAATTTGTTGCTAGTAGACTTGTATTGCAAGAAATTTGTCAGAAGAAAAATGATATAGATCAGAAACTCAGATCTGCATAAAGAAAGGAAGAGACTTTGAGAAGGAATAAGTGAAGGTAAAATAAAAACCATTATTTTTCTTACCCTTAATTGATAGAAGAGATAACAATTTATTCACAATAATAACAACAATGTATTCAATTATGTATGCCACATATATATATATGTATGTGTGCCTATCTATGCTTATTTGTAAGTGAAATTAATGATAGCAATGAGTATAAGAGATGAGAGAAAAAAATTAGGAATATTTTATTTTACTGTACTTGCACTATCTGTGTAACAGTATAGTGTTATTTGAAAGTGGACTTGGAACAGCTGTAAATGTATACTGCAACCTCTAGGTCACTACTTAAAAAGTAAAAAAATACATATGTAATTGATATGCTAAGAAAGGAGATGAAATGAAATCATGAAATACTCAAAACTATAAAAGCAGAAAAAGAGTGGAAGACAAAAACAGGGGAAAAAACAAGACAAAATATAGAAAACATTAACAAATATGGTAGATATTAATCCAAGTGTATCAATAATCACTTTAAATGCCCATGGTCTAAATACACACATTAAAAAATAAGAGATTATCAGAATAGATAAAAAACAAGGCATATGCTATCTACAAGAAACTCAATTCAAATACAAAGAAACACACAGATTAAACTTAAAGAAACAAAGAAGACAGATATACTATGCTAACATTAATCTAAAGAAAGCTGGAGTGCCTATATTAATTTCAGACAGAGCAGATTTCAGAGCAAAGATAAATTATCACAGAGAAAAAGGGGTAGTACATAATGATAAAGTGGTAAATTCTCCCAGAAGATATAACAGTATGCACCTAATAGTAGAGCATCAAAATGTATAAGGCAAAAACTGATAGAACTGCAAGGAAAAACAGACAAATCCACTACTATAACTGGAGATGTCAACATCCCTCTATCAGAAAACGACAGATACAGCAGGCAGAAAATCATTAAGGACATAGTTGAACTGAGCAATACCATCAGTCAATTGAATATAACTGACATACATAGACTATTTCATTCAACAACAGCAGAATACACACTAGTATCAAGCTCACATGGAGCATTCCCCAAAACAGACCACATTCTGGGCGATAAAACACGTATTACCAAATTTAAGAGAATGTTATCATTACTTTCACTTACAAATAAGCATACATAGGTACACACAAACACACACACACACACACACACACACACACACACATATGTGGCGTACATAATTGAATACATTGTTGTTATTATTGTGAATAAATTGTTATCTCTTCTATCAATTAAGGGTAAGAAAAATAATGGTTTTTATTTTACCTTCACTTATTCCATCTCAAAATCTCTTCCTTTCTTTATGTAGATCTGAGTTTCTGATCTATATCATTCTTCTTCTGACAAATTTCCTGCAATACACGTCTACTAGCAACAAATTCCCTGAATTTTTATTTGTCTGAAACATTTTTTTAAAAAATATTTGACCTCAGTCCAGAATGGAATTAAACTAGAAAATAATAACAGAAAGATAGTTGGAAAATTCCCAAATACTTGGAGATAGAACAATATACTTCTAATAATCTGTGGGTCAAAAAAATCTTAAAAAAAAGGAACTAAATGAAAGTGAAAACACAACTTACCAAAATTTGTTGGAAGCAACATTAGCACTGCTTAGAGGAGAATTTATAGCATTAAATGCCACAAATGTATAGCATTAATATAGCATTCTGCTTATATTAGAAGAAGAAAGATCTAAAATCAATAAGCTAAGCTTCTACTTTGTGAAATTAAAGAAAAAGAACAAATTAATCCAAAGCAGAAGAAAAGAAACAATAAAAGTTAATGCACCTCGATGAGATAAAAAACAGAAAACTAATAAAGAAACTTAATGAAAGCAAAAGTTGGTTCTTTTAAAAGATCAATAAAATTGATAAACCTCTAGGCAGACTAAGAAAAAAGAGACAAGAAACATATTACTAATGTCAGAAATGAAAGAGATGACATCACTACAGATCCCATGGACATTAAAAGGATAATTTTAAAATGATGTCAATAGTTATTTACCCAAAAATCTGAAAACCTATAAAAAATGAACCAATTCCTTGAGAAATAAAATCTGCCAAAACTCTTACAAGAAGAAATGAATAATATGAATAGGCCTATCTCTATTAAAGAAATTGAATCAATAATTAACATGTTTCCAAAGCGCCAGGCCCAAATATGTTCACTGTTGAGTTCTACCAAACATTTAAGGAAGAAATTATACTAATTCTTAACATTCTTTACTAGAAGGTAACACAGGGAATACTTCCAAACTCATTCTTTGCGGCCAGCATTGCCCAGACAGACCTTACAAAAAGGAAAACTAAAGACCAGTATTCTCTCATAAGCATAGATGCAAAAATCCACATCAAAATATTAGCAAATTGAATGTAACAATGTATAAAAAGAATTACACCACGACCAAGTGAGATTTATCACAGGTATAAAAAACTGATTCAACATACAAAAATCAACTAATATAATCTATCACACCAACAAGCTACAAAGAAAAAAAATATGATCATACCAATAGGTACAGAAAAACATTTGACAAAATGTGATACCCATTCATGATAAAAAATTCTCAGTAAACTAGAAATAGAGAAGAACTTCCTCAACATATAAAGAATGTGTAAGGAAACCTGCAGCAAATATCATACTTAGCGGTATGAAACTAGAAACTTTTCTGCTCAGAGTAAGAAAAAGACAAGGATGTCTCCTCTCAACATTCCTTTTCAGTATCATATTGGAAGACCTGGCTGACACAGTAAGACAGGAAAAGAAAACAAAAGGTATACAAATAGAGAAGGAAACAATTAGAGTATGTTTGTTCACAGATTATATTATTGTCTGTGTAGCAAATTCAAAAGAATCAATAATCTAATCTGACTGGCAGTTTCATAGGAAAGAGGAAGAACTAAAGGGGAAACAAGAATGGCAGCAGAAGGCCAGTCAGGAAGCTGTTGCAGTAAGTCATGCAGGAGTTAACAGTGACTTGAACTACAGAGACAGGGGAGGAGACGATAAGCAGACAACAGATTCAGAATGTTCTAGGAAAAGACAATAGGACATGCTAATGAACTGGATGAGTCAAGTCAGGAAAAAATAAACTCAAGAACAACTCTTGGGGTTTTCACAGCAACAACTGACTGAAGGTGAATAAGTCACAAAACCTTAGGACATTGCAAAATAATAACTACAAAATGCAATTAGAGGTGAGGATGAAAACATCAGTGATACATTTGGAGTTTTAAATCCAAATATAAACACAACAATATAGAGGATAAAAAGCAGAAGTGTGGCTGTAAGGCCTAATGAGGAAGGCTAAGTGGCCATTCTCTCTTCCCGTTTGCCATCTCTGAGGACATTCCTGAGCAGTTTTGGTTGATCCTGACTATGTTGCCTAAAGGAGGTTTCAGAGTCAAGCAAAATAATAAAAAGTGGAGTTTGAAGGGGGCTTCCCAGGATAAATTCCCATAAAAGACTGGGACAATGTCTAGGAAATACATAAATGCCAGTCTCATCTACCCAAATAAAAGCCTTATTACTCCTATGCTATTAATACTGGGACCCACAGTCATAATTAGGGGAAAAATCACCACCTTAATGAGTAGGTTTGTTAAGTGCTTTTGTTCCACTGAGGGGAACACTGAGTCACCTAGTGACTCAGGCCAAATGGCAAACACAACACTAGAAGGTATACTTTGAGGCTTCCACCTTCATTTAAATCCTTGGCAACTCTCTAATCAAACAATTCTTTTGAAATTGCTTCCAACTGTATCTAATCCTTTATGACTTTAAAAAAAGAAACTTGTAATTTTCATTTAAGAGCTTCTAATTTATCGAAAACTCCATCTATAAAAGCGACACAAGCTTCATGGATTGTGCATCTCAAAGGATATACTTAAGACCCTCCCAGCTTTAAAAGATTATTCCTAATAATTTTTAGAAAAAATAAATTAAAGAATGTCTATTTACCACAGCTATCTCAGAATACAGCTGAAACTTGACTGACACTGTATCCAACTGGAGTAAGAGTTTGTAGATGATGTGACAACACACACACAAAAAGAAAAGACGCTCTCACTCTTTGCTGGCTGAATGCTGCGTGCCCTGGCAGTGGAGAAGAGAGCTCTGGACATTCACTGTAGCATGAAATCTCATTTCATATATAAAAGACCACAGAAGCAATGCTATAATTTATGCTAGGGTAACCAATTCATGTTCACGACTTTCCTGGTTTTAATACTGAAAGTCCTGCATCCTGAGATCCCCTTGCCCACAGACTTTTCGAAAAGGACAGTTGGTCACCCTAAATTTACCCCAGCCCTTACTTCCTTGGGTTTGCTGTCACGTACATTACCAGGGCCATTTCACCCAAATTTCTTAGAGAAACAATCATGACTTTTGCTAAAGGCACTCTTGGGGTAAATAAGCCCAGTACTGAAATCCAGTCTTCCCAGCTTCAAACAATCACTGAAGCTTTTCATTCTTACTTACCTGTCCATTCTCATCTCTCAATCTTAATATTTATGACCTTGTTTTTCCTAGATGTGGGCCACCCATGGCTGAAAACATTTTCAGAATTTGATAGCCAATGAAAGGGGGAGGGGAAGGTTCCTGGCAAGATGCCAGTATAGACACAGGCCCCGTCCCATTCCTAGATTCTCAATGAGACAATCAATGGAACATAAAAATGGATCAAAACCTCTTTTGGCACTATATATTAGAGAAAGGTGCTCAATATGCCAGAAGTGCAAATGATTGCGCTGAATATAGTATAGGTGGAATTAGATTAAAGAAGGGCAAAGAAGGCTGACAGGTGATTGTCTCTCCAAAAGAGCAGCGAGCCTGATAAATATACCAATCAAATCCTGAGCAAAATGCTCACCTCTTAACTCAGAAAGCAAAGAGCAGGAGGGCAAGAGAAGCTTACAGGGCACTCAGAGAGCAAGGCTCTTGCCTCTGTAGCGAGCATTCTATGCACACAACCTGTGATACTCACTGTAGCCAGAATTCTGTGCACATAACCTGTGATACTCACAGACCCCTGGATGTGCTGCTGTTATAAGCCATGACTCTGAGTACCAGGCATTGCAGAAACAAGGAACTGGAGCAATCAGCAATGATAGGAGTGGGCCAAAACCTACCATGGTTTGCTCATACTGCAAGCATCCACATAAAGACAAAAACAAGTTCTTAAGCACACTCCAATTTATAAAATCTCTACATGACTGTGTAAGGACACATCTTCTTCCACCTTCAAGTAAAGGATTTGGCCAGGAATCCATACTAATCTCTCACAGAACCAATCTCAGCTACTTGCCTATCAGCCAGTACTAGTCTACTTTCTATGAGGATAAAGAGGCAAGGAGTAATTGCCAGAACTATGCAAAATTACTACAGTTCAAAGGAATGGAGGCACTTTGATCAAAACTGTCTTTTCTGAAAAAAGTTTACTCGAACTGACATGATAAAATTTTAGAAAATTCTCAGTTTTTCAAGAAGACACTTGATTCAAGAAGGCACTGCATCTGTGAAAATACGGTAAGCAGACATGAAGCTGAAACAGTATGAGATCAGAAAAAACCACTGGCAACTGACTTTTTTAATAGCATTTCTTCATTTAACACGGCAATAGATGGAGTGAACAGCAGAAAACATGCTGCAGAAAAACCAAATTACTGAGCTGGATGAGTGAACTCAAGAGATTCTCCTATAACTCAGGGAAAATACAAGAAATGAGTGATGGAAAACCTTAGACATGAGGAACAGATCCTGGAGATCCAAATGTACTTAACAGGAATCACAGAATGGAAGTAAAATACAGGCTGGGCATGGTGGCTCACACCGGTAATCCCAGCACTTTGGGAGTCCAAGGCAGATGGATTACTTAAGGCCAGTCAGGAGTTCAAGATCAGCCCTGCCAACATGGTGAAACACTGTCTCTACTAAAAATACAAAAAAAAAATTAGCTGGGTGTGGTGGCAGGCGCCTGTAATCCCAACTACTCGGGAGGCAGAGGCAGGAGAATTGCTTGAACCTGGGAGGCAGAGGTTGCAGTGAGCCGAGATCACACCAATGTACTCCAGCCTGGGCGACAGAGAGACTCCATCTTGAAAAAAAAAAAAAAAAGTAAGATACAGAAAGATATAAGAATAATCAAAGAAACACTAGAAGAATGTTTTCCAAGGTTGTGAAAAGACCAGAGTCTGCACTATAAAATGGTTGAGCAAGGACATAAACATATTCTGTTAAAAAATTAAATATAAAATACTACAAATGTCCAAACAGAAAATACAGCTTACCAAAATGAAACCATAATGTAGATCACCTCAGACATCTCCCAACATCAAATATCAGAGGTCACAGAACGATATCCATAGAGTTGTTGGTGGTGGTTTTTTTGTTTGTTTGTTTGTTTTTTGAGATGAAGTCTCACTAATCGCCCAGGCTGGAGTGCAGTGGCACAATCTCAGCTCACTGCAACCTCTGCCTGCTGGGTTCAAGTGATTCTCCTGCCTCAGCCTCCTGAGTAGCTGGGATTACAGGCATGTGCCATCACACCTGGCTAATTGTTGTATTTTCAGTAGATGATGTTTTGCTGTGTTGGCCAGGCTGGTCTTGAAATCCTGACCTCCTGATCTGCCCACCTCGACCTCCCAAAGTGCTGGGATTACACGGATGAGCCACTGCACCCAGCCTCTACAGAGTTTTAAGGGGGAAGTTTGATACTTAAGAATCCTATAGCCAATCAAGCAGATATTCACAAGTGAAAGGATAGGAAGTCACTCTTCTATAATGCAAAGACTCAAAGAATATGCCACGACCACTCCCCTGCCATTAGTCTTCATAAATATTATTAGAAACTACATTTTGGCTGACCAAGAGAACAATCAAGAATTTTTTTTAAATCACAGTACAAAAAGGCTAGCAGTAAGCATAAACGCAGTTAAATAATTTCAAATATTGTTATTTAATTTAATGCAACTATTGCGATTAAGACTTAAATGGAAAGATGTTTCACCTAAAATAAATATTAAAAATCTAAATACAAAATTGAAAATTGGGTATAAGAAAATATCTGGGAAGTGGGCAGAAGGGTTAAAGCAATAAAGTTAAAGGCAGAAGGGATAAAGTAAATGTTAAGAAAAACACTAACACCTCAACAGAAAAATGAGCAAAATACGATCAGCCAATGAATAACAGAAAGAAGAATGGCCAACAAAAATACAAAGTGTTCAACCTCATGAATAAATAAATGACATTTAAAATAATAGCATATTTTCACCCATCAAATCGGCAAAAATATTTGTAAATTGGAACACTTAGCACTGTATACAGTAGGGTAAAGGAGGTTGGTGGAAGTAACTGATGATCACATTTCATACATTGCAGGTAGGAATGAAAATGAAAATCTCTCTAAGTAACAGTCTGACAACAGAGTATGTACTGTGTAAATGTCCACACCATAATACCTCACCAAGGCATTCAACTTCTAGCAATTTTTCCTATGGAAATAAAGATATATGTACAAAGATGTTCACTGTAGCAATATATATAATATCAAAAAACTTGAATAACCAAAGTAGAAGATTATTTTGTGATTTAAAACATTTTCTGAACTTTACTGAAGTATAATTGACAAACATTTTATATATCTACAATGTAAAATGTAACGTTTTAATATACATATACATTGTGAAATGACTTCTAAAACCAATCTAATTAATATACCCATGACCTCACAGTAAACGTGTGTGTGTGTGTGTGTGTGTGTGTGTGTGTGTGTTAAAAACATTTAAGATCTACTCTCTTAGCTAATTTCACATATGTAATACAGTATTAATAAATATAATTACTGATATTGTTTGGATCTGTGTCCCCACAAAATCTGATGTCATACTGTAATCCCCAGTGTTGGAGATGAGTTCTGGTGGGAGGTGATTGGATCATGGCGGTTTCTCATGAATGGTTTAGCACCATCCTCTCAGTGCTGTTCTCATGACAGTGAGTTCTCACAAGATCAGGTGGTTTAAAAGTGTGTGGCACATCCCCCCTCACTCTCTCTTCCTCCTGCTCCGGGCATGTGAAGGGCTGGCTCCCCCTTTTTGCTTTCCAACATAATTTTATGAGGCCTCCCTAGAAGCCAAGCAGATGCCAGCGTCCTACTTCCTGAACAGCCTGGGGAACTGTGAACCAATGAAACTTCTTTATAAATTACCCAGTCTCAGGTATTTCTTCACAGCAATGTGACAGACTAATACAGTTACTATGCTGTACATTAGGTCTCTAGAGCTTATTCATTCTGCATAAACAAAACTTGGTACCTTTTGACCAACATCTACCCAACATCCCTCAAACCCTTGGAAACCACATTCAACTCTGTGCATTTATGAGTATAACATTGTTAGATTCCACATATAAGTAAGATCATGTGGTATTTGTCTTTCTGTGCCTTGCTTATTTCACTTAGCATAACATATTCCACACTGTCACACATGACACGATTTCCTTCTTTTTTAAGACTGAGTAATATTTCATTATGTGTGGATATGTGTGGGTATGTGTGTGTAGATATAGATATAGATATACCTACTGCATTTTCTTTATTCAATCATCTGTTAACAGATATTTAGGTTGTTTCTAAATCATGGCTTTTGTGAATAATGCAGCAATGAACATGGGAATGAAGATATCTCTTTGAGATACTGATTTCATTTCCTTTGGATATGTATACCAAAGTAGAATCGCTGGGTCATATGAAAGTTCTATTTTTAACTGTTTGAGAAACCTCCATGCAGTTTTCCACAATGGCTATACCAATTTACACTCCCACCAATGGTGTACAAGGGTTCCCTTCTCTCCACATCCTCACCAACACTTGTTATCTATTGTCTATTGTATAATAGTTATTGTAACAAGTGTGAAGTAATATCTCATTGTGGTTTTGATTTAGATTTCACTGATGACTAGATGTTGAGCACATTTTCATATACATGTTGAGCATTCATATGTCTCCTTTTCAGAAATGTCTATTCAAGTCCTTTGCTCGTTTTTAGGTCAGGTTACTTGTTAACCTGCTATTGAGTTTTATGAGTTATATATGATATATATATAAATATCATTAAAATATATTTAATATACAGTGATATATATTTATATGATATATAAATCATATAATGAAATATATATATCATTGATATGATATATAGTGATATATATTTTTATACTACACACAGCATGTAGAACCTTGCACATACTAGAAACTTACCACATATTTGGAGAGAACATCCTTTTTCTCTCCCCAGGTATTAGCCAGAAACCATAGCTATCCTTCTTAATTGCTAATGGAAAATTGGATATGAGATAGGATGTGTAAAGAAGGAGGTCAGAAGACATAGAAACAGAAATTGGAGGTTGAAGTGGCTTCTTCTGTTTCATTCATTAACTTTGAGAGATTCTGGTCTTCACAGTTTAGTGGAACTGTGGGCAGAAGTGATGGGCTCTGCACATACAAAGGGGAAAATGGAGAAAACCATTTAATTATCTTTTCTGTCAATCTAACCTCTCTCCCTTCTCATCTTTCCTTTTCCCCAACTCGCTATACTCTGCAGTCTCCTGGGAAGAGTTACAACTTGGAAGAATAAAGGAGAAAGGTAGCCCTGGCTAAAGTGGATTAAAGATCTTTTTGCTTATTTAGAAAGCAAAAATCGGCCAGGCAAGGTGGCTCATGCCTGTAATCCCAGCACTTTGGGAGGCCGAGGTGGGCGGATCATGAGGTCAAGAGATCGAGACTATCCTGGCCAACATGGTGAAACCCCGTCTCTAGTAAAAATACAAAAATCAGCTGGGCGTGGTGGCACGAGCCTATAGTCCCAGCCGCTCAGGAGATTGAGGCAGGAGAATCATTTGAACCCAGGAGGCGGAGGTTGCAGTGAGCCGAGATCCCACCACTGCCCTCCAGCCTGGGTGACAGATCAAGACCCCGTCTCACAAAAAGGAAAAAAAAAGAAAAGAAAGCAAAGCAAAAATCAATTATTAACCTCAAGAATCTATTCTCTTCAAAACCCATCAACAAACTGAGCATTCCATAAAAGTTAATTCTAAAAAAAGGGGAGAAGGAGAGGGGAAGTTATGTACCTTGAGATTATCTTTATCTCTATACTTGTTTTGTTGAAAGACTTTTCACTTCCATGGAAAAATTTTATTTTGGGGAAGATTTACAAAACTAGCCAAAGCTCTTACCAATTTCACTGATCACTGTTTACTGTCCTATTTATTTGGTGAATGAATACCTCTTTCCTGAGAATCTCTTTATTGAACATTTCCGTTTGAAGCTTTAAAACATAAGGATACTTATTTTTAAAGTTTGTATTGCTTAATTTAAAAGTAATAATATATCATCCAGTCAAAGAAGGCATCAGTTTAAGATGGATTCCAATTTCAGAGATGTTAAATATGAAGAAAAAATGTCTACCTTGGAACTGATGAATTAGGGTACATGCTCATTGTAGAGAATTTGCAAACTATAGAAAAGTGTAAAGAAGAGAAAATATTATTTATAATTATTTGGTCTAATTCCTTCTAGTTTTTTTTTATACTTAGTAATATGTTTATCCTTTGTTTATATAAAATTAATATCATGTTGTACAAACATTTTGCATCTTTTTTCCCTGATACTTTTATATTTTGAGCATTGTTTTCTTATCACTAAACAGTTCTTGAAAATAATTGTTAAAAACTGGTTTAAAAATTAATCCCTTACTTTCAAGCAAGATGTCAGAATAGCACTTGTCTCCTTGTAGAAACATCAATTTGAATAACTATCCATGCACAGAATACCTTTATAAGAGCAAAGGAATCCAGGTTAAAGATTACATTGCCTGGATGGAGCACAGAAATAAGAAAAGACACATTGATGAGTAGGAAGAACAGTTTCAAATTACCTACGTCACCTCTCCCTGAAGCCTGAGCAGCACAGTGTCAAGAGGGATACCCTTTGTGTGGGGGAAGGAGAATGAAGTGAGTACCCAACTTCTCTGTAAACCAAGCAGAGGTCCACCCCAGTGAACCCCAGTGATAGGGTGGCCTCCAAAGACGAAGGCTCCAAGCCTACTCTAGCACCAGGTATGCCCTTGTGGACTCAGGCTCCAGGTCAGCCCTCGAAGCCCCAGAATCCAGGACTTCCTATATATATATAGAAAGAGAGAGAGAGAGAGAGAGAGAGAGACCAGGTTCTCAAAAAGCTTAGTAGTAGTAGGTGACATAAGTAGGTGACATAAGCAGCTAGAAGCCCTTATCCTAAGTGAATTCACGCAGGAAAAGAAAACCAAATACTGCACGTTCTCTCTTATAAGTGGGAGCTAAACACTGAGTAAACATGGACACAAAGAAAGGAACAACAGACACTAGGGCCCACTTGAGGGTGGAAGGTGGGAGGAGGGTAAGGATCGAAAAATTATCTATCAGGTACTACGCTTATTACCTGGGTGATGAAATAATCTGTATACTAAACCCCTACAATATGCAATTTACCCATGTAACAAACCTGCATATGTATCCCTTGAACCTGAAATAAAAGCTGGGAGAAAAAAAAAATACTTCCATACCAATAACAACAGTCAACAGGGGAAAAAGTTGTGGCATCCACATTGATTGGTTGGTTCCCTTGCCATTAAGGGCATTCAATTTTTTAACATCACCCCTAAATAAATGAGCTATACACATACCTAGATGAGGGGGTAGAGAGAGCAGTGTGAACAAAAATAAGAAAAGAGGTTGTTACCCCAACCAACTGTAGGACAGACTACAAAACCACTATAATGAATTGACCAAGGACTATGATTTATATCTTTGTACCTTTAGGTATGTATCTTATGTACCTTGAGATCATCTTCACCTCCATGCTTGTTTTTTTTTTTGAGATGGAGTCTGGCTCTGTCACCCAGGCTGGAGTGTAGTGGCGCGATCTCAGCTCACTGCAACCTCTGCCTCCTGGGTTCAAGTGATTCTCCTGCCTCAGCCTCTCGAGTAGCTGGGATTACAGGCACACGCCACCACACTCAGCTAATTTTTGTATTTTTAGTAGAGACAGCCTTTCACCATGTTGCCCAGGCTGGTCTCGAACTCCTGACCTCAAGTGATCCACCTGCCTCGGTCTCTCAATTGTTTTTATAAAAGAGTTTTCACTCCCATAGAAAATTATATTTAGGGGAAGATTTATAAAACTAGTCAAAGCTCTTATCACCTTCACGGATGGCTGTGTGCTGTCCTATTTATTTGGTAAATAAATATCCCCCCCCAAAAAAAAAAAAAGATGTTTATTGGGCTTAGATTACAAAGTCTAAGGAACCTTCCAGCATGAGGTATATAGTCTGACCTTGAAACGTGCTGCTGGGACTGACTAGATGAGGAAAGTCAAACTCATTCCCGGCCTAGTCCTAAATTCGAACCTTCAATAAAGATCGACTGAAAAAAATAATGGCATCATTCACAGTCATTCTTCCACTGTCTTTACAGGAGTGGCAAATAACACACACAGGATATACAACCTACATAAAGGCCTAAAAAAAAAAATTTTCTATAGCTCATGCCTTTGGGAATTATGTTCAATAGACAGGTGGCCAAAGAGGGCATATGAAGACTGTTAGCCAATGGGAAAAATTCCACCACCAAACTCAGATGCAGAATTACCCCAAAACAGGGTGACTCTAATTGAATGAAATATGAGAGAACAAAAAAATTTCAAAATGCATAGTAAAACATTCCTCCTCAGCCTAAAAGAAACCAACACATTATTTTTATCTTTGATGGTTTTCTTATAAAAAAATTTAGAAGGGAATGTACAGATGGATCCAGATACTGTGTCTCTTTAGAAAGTTCTGTGATGTCACGTGGTTAGTTAGACTAGATGTAAGGAAAAGAAGCATGAGTTACTGTGAAAAAGAATAGGCTGCCATGGAAGATTCTAAATTCTGTCTCTGGTAATCTCCAAGCATTAGGTGAATGGCCATCTGTTTGAGAAGGAATTTCAAAACCTTTCCCAGGCAGGGGCTTTCAAGGATAGAATTAATACTTCCTTTTGCTTGTATAACCAAGACACACTACCATGAAATGAAAAAAAAAAGCCAGTTCTTGGTTCATTCATTCACTTATTAGTTCAACAAATACTTAGTAAGCACCAGCCATATTCAAAGTACTGTGTTAGGTGCTGTACAGGATACAAAGCTAAAACAGTCCTTGCCTGGAAGAATCTAAAATATGGTATAATTTTTAGAAAATTTAAATATAACAGAATTTTTAGAAAATTCTAAGAAAGAGAAATACAAATGATCCAAGTAAAAGTGGAATTGGCAGGAAGTCCCAGCCAGAGCAACCAGGCAAAGGAAAGAAATAAAGGGCATCCAAATTGAAAAGAGGAAGTCAAACTATCTCTGTTTGCCAGTAATATGATTGTGTAGGTAGAAAATCCTAACAACACTTCCAAGGACTCCTAGATTTGAAAAACAAATTCAGTAAAGTTTTGGGTTACAAAATCAATGTACACAAATCAGTAGCACTGCAATGCACTAACAATGACCAAGCTGAGAATCAAATCAAGAACTCAATCCCTTTGATAATAGCTAAAAAAAATAATAATAATAAAGTACCTAGAAATAAACTTGACCAAGGTAGTAGAAGATCTCTACAAAGAGAACTATAAAACACTGATGAAAGAAATCATAGATGACACAAATGAATAGAAATACATCCCATACTCACGGATTGGAAGAATCAATATCATGAAAATGACCATACTGCCCAAACAAATTTACAGACTTGATGCAATTCCTATCAAAATACCAATGTAATTTGTCACAGAATTAGAAAAAAATAATCCTAAAATTCATACAGAACCAAAAAAGAGCCTGAATAGCCAATGAATCCTAAACAAATAGAACAAATCTGGAGGCATCACATTATCTGTCTTAAAATTATACCACAAAGCTGTAGTAACTAAAACAGCATGGTACTGGTATAAAAGTAGATACACAGACTGATGGAACAAAATGGAGAAGCCATAAATAAAGCCAAATACTTACAACTAACTGATCTTCGACAAAGGATATACTGGAAAAGGGACACCCTATTCAAAACAGTGCGGGAACATTGGATAGCCACATGTAGAAGAATGAAACTGGATCCCTGTGTCTCACCATATACAAAAATTAACTCAACATGGATTAAAGACTTAAATCTAAGACCTGAGCCCATAAAAATTCTAGAAGAAAACTCTTTCTAGACATTGGGCTAGGCAAGAATTTATGAATAGGACCCCAAAAGCAAATGCAACAAAAAATAAATAAACGGGACCTACTTAAACTAAAAAGCTTCTGCACAACAAAATAAATAATTATCAGAGTAAACAGACAACCTACAGAATGGGAGAAAATATTTGCAAGCTATGCATCTGACAAAGAACCTATAAGGAATCCAAACAAATCAGCAAGAAAAAAAACAAATAATCCCACTAAAAAGTGGGCAAATGACATGAATAGACATTTCTCAAAAGAAAATATACAAATGGCCAATAAACATATGAAAAAATGCTCAATATCACATATCATCAAAGAAATGCAAATTAAAACCACAATGAGATATCACCTTATCCTAGCCAGAATGACCATTATTAAAAAGTCAAAAAATAATAGATGTTGCTAGAAATGTAGTGAAAAGGGAGTGCTTATACACTGGGGGTGGAAATGTAAATTACTACAACCTCCATGGAAAACAGTATGGAGATTTCTCAAAGAACTAAAAGTAACTCTACCATTTGACCCAACAATCCACTGCTGGGTATCTACCTGAAAAAGAAGTCATTATATCAAAAAGATATCTGCACGCATATGTTTATTGCAGCACATTTCACAATTGCAAAGATATGGAATCAACCAAAGTGCCCAACAACTGTTGAGTAGATAAAGAAAATGTGGCATGTATATATACCATGAAATACTACTCAGTCATTAAAAAAAATGAAATCATGTCTTTTGCAGCAACGTGGATGAAACTGAAGGCCATTATTCTAAGTGAAGTAACTCAGGAATGGACAAACAAATATTGCATGTTCTCACTTGTAAGTGGGCACTAAGCTATGGGCACATGAAGGTGTAGAGAGTGGTACAATGGACACTGGAGATTCAGAAGAGAGGAGGATGGGAGGGGGGTGATGGATGAAAAAAAAAACAAAACACTTATCAGATGTATACTACTCAGGTGACAGGTACATTAAAATACCAGACTTCAACACTATACAAATCATCCATGGAACCAAAAACTGCTTATATCCCTAAGGCTACTGAAATTTAAAATACATTTTTTTTTCTTGAGACAAAGTCCTGCTCTGTCACCCAGGCTAGAGTGCAATGGTGCGATCTTGGCTCACTGCAACCACCGCCTAACAGGTTCAAGGGATTCTCTGGCCTCGGCCTCCCCAGTAACTAAAACAGGCACTAGGACTACGGGTGCCTGCCACGACACCTGGCTAATTTTTGTATTTTTAGTAGAGATGGGGTTTCGCCATGTTGGCCAGGCTGGTCTCAAACTCCCAACCTCAGGTGATCCGCCCGCCTCAGCCTCCCAAAGTGTTGGGATTACAGGCGTGAGCCACCGCACCTAGCCTAAAATGATTTTTTAATGGAATTGGCAAAGGTGTCCAATGAGAAGAAATCCCAGTATGATAACTGTGGTAGGTGGGGTATGAAGAAGCCAGTGTTTATCAAACACTGAACAAGTCACATGACGAAACATCTAGTGATATTGAGCAATCATTATAGCATGCTTCTTCTATCAGTAAGAGTAAAAAAAAAGACGAATATAAGTCTCCAGGGGGAGAGGGAAACTATGCAACAAAGTCATGATTCAAATACAAAGCAAGCTAAAATGTACATAATTTTGAGCTTTTGATTAAGTATAAAATCTTGACCTGACATGTGCAGTATTCTTCATTCATTGGCGCAGGTTGGATAGTTACAGTAGATTACATTTTCTACCTATTAATTCCATCACTCTATCTCATTTTGCAATAAACAACACTTACATCAACATCATTATGTACTGGCTTTCTAATTTCAGATCAACTTATAAGCGTGCTTGTCTTATCAAAATTACAGATCTGTATGTAAAGTTGTAAACCTCAATCATGTCAAAGTAATGACATGGCTGAAAGAGAACTTTAATTCCCCACATTACACACTAAAATTCAAGAGAAAGTATCTATAAACTGGTTCTAAGGAAAGTAATTAAGGAAATAAACCCCTAAAAGTAAAGGTTAACTAGCCAAATTTGGCAAGAGTGAGAGGTAGTATCAGAGCACTAATTCCATAATTCTTTTTTCTTTTTCTTTTCTTTTTTTTTGAGACAAGGTCTTGCTCTGTCACCCAGCCTGGAGTGCAGTGGCGCGATCACAGTTCCCTTTAGGCTCAACCTCCCGAGCTCAGCTGATCCTCCCACTTCAACCTCCCAAGTAGTTGTGACCACGGGTGTTTGCCACCATACCTGGCTTACCTGGCTTTTTTTTTTTTTTTTTTTGTATTTTTTGTAGAGACAGAGTTTTGCCATGTTGCCCAGGCTGGACTCAAACTTCCGGGCTCCAGCAATCTGCCTGTTTCTGTCATTCTTAACTGATCAACAACCAAGAATGCTTAAAGTTATTAAAGAAATAAAAGTACAAGTATATATATGTTTAAGGGTTAGGGAGGTAATCAAAGAATAAAACGCAAATACAGTGAAAAGCAGTTACCTCTAAGGGATGGAACTTGGGGATAGGTGGAGTTTTTCACTTTCCATTTTAGATCTTCCTCAACTTTCCATTTTAAATCTTTCAATTTTTATTTCCTTGTGCATGTAGTATTTTTATAATAACAATAATAATATGAATGACATACTGACATAAAAAAATTTCCAGCACATATTATGTACAAAAAACAAACACTAGAGTAATATTTATAATAAAGTATCATTTATGTTTTTTAAAAATACAGCAGCAGCAACATATATTTAAATATGTCAACATAACTATCTTTACGCTAACACTTACAAAGGACCAGATGGGAAAGCAAGGGGAAAGAGAATGTCTACATTTTATTTCATATAGTTCCACAAAGTTTGAATGAGAATACATGTGTGTTCATGTATTATTTCTCCAATTATTTTTTTTCCTTTTTTTTTTTTTGAGACGGAGTCTCACTCTGTTGCCCAGGCTGGAGTGCAGTGGTGCAATCTTGACTCGCTGCAACCTCTGCCTCCCAGGTTCAAGTGATTATCATGCCTCAGCCTCCCGAGTAGCTGGGATTACAGGTGCACGCCACCACACCTGGCTAATTTTTTTTTTTTTTTTTTTTTTTTAGTAGAGGTGGGGTATCACCATGTTGGCCAGGCTGGTCTCAAACTCCTGACCTCAAGAGATCCGTCCGCCTTGGCCTCCCAAAGTGCTGGGATTACAGGCGTGAGCCACCGCACCCAGCCATTTTTTCCTACATTTTTAAAGAAAAAGGATACCGTGGCTATATAATTAGTAGAGATAGCATGCGTCAGTGGAAGAAAGAATAGCTTTGGTCTCAGAAAAATTTGGACAAAAGCTTTACCAGGTAGTGTCATATTGAACAAGATATTATACTTCTCTAAGCTTTAGTTTCTTTTTTTAAAATAGTTTTATTGAGATCTAATTCATGTACCATACAATTCACTCATTTTAAATATCTAATTCTCCTTTGAGCAAAAGCTGCAAAACGAAGAAAAAAGAAAGTATATAATTCAATGTATTTTAGTACGTTCAGAGATGTGCAACCATCACCACAAACTAATTTTAGAGCATTTTCATAGCCTTAAAAGCAGCCCTGTACCCATTAGCAATCAATCTCCATTAATTTTTTTTTCTGGAAAAAAAAAGTGAGTGTCAGAATGAGAGTCTACTATGTAATAGTCCTGTAATAAGGAATAAACAAAAATATATCAAATCTGCCAGCACAATGCCTGGACCTTAGTAGGCACTCAAGACATGCATTTCAGGTAAAGTTCAAGACACAAATGATAGAGAAATGAGCAAAAACCTGGATGTAACAAAAAAGTGTAAGAGGTAAATAAAGCCTTTCAAGTACTCAGGAACCTGCTCAGATCCCTATCCTTAGAGTAAATTCCATAAGTCATGACCTTCTCCCTATTAAATAAAAATTTAAAAAAAATCAGATATCAAGTAAAAAAGCACAAGCTTGAAAATGTCAGTATTTGGGGGCATATTTTAGAGTGAAAGTTTCAGGAGGAGAGATACATCCTCATCCCTGGAAAAAAAAAAAAATTGAACACAAGAAGCAAACAGTGCAGTTCCTGAGAAGATAACAAGAATGCCAGAAGTTCATATTGGATAGGCAGTGGAAACTATACTGTCATGTTTCTACTTTTCAAAGTGAAAATAAACATGACAGGTGCTCATTTGGCTGTTCAAGCACTTTCCACTTAAATAGCAATTCCTCCAGCTTACCAACTGCAGCCTGAAGTTATAATTTATTACTGGTTTCTGTATTATTCCCTTGCCTCGGCAGAAAGCAGAACATAGCACCTACATTTCAAGACCCATGAGAGGTAATAAAGTATAATTATTTTAAATTTATGATTAAGCCATAAATTATGTGTACTTTTTACTTTAGCTGGTCATTCAGAGGTTGGTGAGGAAGGGAATGGGGTCAGAGAAAGAAATAACAAAAGCTTTTTCCTTTGAATAAAATGTCTAAATCAGGGCAAAACTGAGGGACACCTGGAGGATTTACAAAGATACCACAGTTTCCATGTTCAGTCCCAAGGGAGCCCCCGCTTAAGAGTCTAAACTCCTGGAGACCTCTGTTCTTCCTGCTCACAGGGCTACAGACTCCAGTGGGAGTGGCCATGTTGAGTCAAAAAACAGAAGCATGGCAATTTACAGTTTAGACCACATCAAATATTTCTGTGCTCTGGGTCTTGCTGCCTCTAAGCCATAGGTATTTCAAGGAAGGTGAACTTAATCTATAAAAAACTACTGGCCAGGCTCTAAAAGTAAAGCTGGCCTCCACCAAAGTAAGACTGATTACTACAGGGCTCTGATAACCAATGGACCAGATATTAATTCTCCTCACCCTCAAGAATCCATTGGTAAAACTTCCCTTTCTTGTAGTTCCTATATGTAGCAAATATACGTATGGAATGGTATTTTGTGAAGGTGACAAAACTCTGGGCATGAAGCAGGATACGAACACAGCATTCAGCATTCTTCTATCACCCAGTCGTCTCACTGGTTCTCCAATATGCCATGGTCCAGTTCCCACTCTTCACAAGTCTGCACTTACAAATTATAGCTTGCAAAGCCTATTCCCATACATTTTCTTATTTGTACTCCCAAAAACTCTGAGAAGGAAGTATCATTAAGCTCCCATTTTACAGTGAAGGCAGAGACTAAGAGAGGCACTAGCAATACACAGGCAATTGACAATGCGGTGAGTCTGGGACCTGGTTACCTGATAGAAATCCTATGGTCCTTTCACAACTCTACCCTAAACTGTTGACAAGGTAAAGAAAAACCAAAAAAGAAGGGCTATGCATTTACATTTCTATTGCAGTTTTCTTTTTTTGCAGTGGAATTTTTACCTGGCAACTTAAGTTTTGAAACTGCTGATTGGTATAGTAACAACAAATACTTGAAAGTGAGATTTAGTTGTGCTTAAGAAACAAATGTAAATAGAGCAGAGAGAACAGAGTCATGAATGGTGACATGTAAAGAATAACAATAACAAATTAAGGGAGGAAGAGAGGGTTTTTGCCCCAAATGTTTACCTAGCACTCACCTTTGTCCTGAAACATCCCACCTCCACACCCAGCTCCTGGTTAATAAACATAATTGTGTTGATGTCCCTTGAACTGTATAATCTGTTCCACAAAAAACAAACCCATGGTTTGTCTCCAAGCCACTTTTAAGTCCCTAACTCCCTGGTTACATTCAGTCTATGGAAAACATCTGTGGCAAAGTAAATCATCCTACTCTGAGAAAGACCAGAGTGTATTTTTTTTTCTCTGAGTGTGTTTTGAAGTCCTGGTTGGAAAATTAGTGAAAATTGTAAATCTGTTTGCAAATCTGGTCATGTCTAACTCTGAGATTAGGGCAAAGATTCCAATTTAAAAGTAAAACCGTGACAACCTTAGTTAAGCATGTCCTCAGGCACTGCCAACAAGGCCTTCACTCACTTCCATGGGCAGTGGATTTATTACAGGCACCCGACACGTTCCCCATCAGACACCCCTGGAGTATTTACTTGAGACAGCAGGGTTCAGCCTGCACTTCCTCTGCAGACCAATATATTATTATAAATTGAGCTAAACTGTTTCCTTTTCATAAGTGCTATGAAGTTCAGATTTCAGATATCAGCACGGGGCCGAAGTCCCTCCCTCTACGGGGCTCCTTGTGCTATTTGGATTTAAAAGTAAAGAGAAAAGGCAGCATTAGACCATGGTTGCTTTTACTTTTGACTTTTTAAAAAAAAGAGATGAAGGAAGATTCATTTCAGAAATCAAATAAAATAAAAATAATAAATCCTAATAAAAATATATATTCTAAGTGCAGACTTTGGGATATATTGTGCTGTGTTTGGCACAGTTCAGTAGGATACCAACTATATCACCTACATCTAAAAATAAGACATGGGAAATCAAGAGTAGATTTTATATTATGTCTTGGATATCAGCTCCTATAAAATAATGCTAACTTCTTCTGTTTATCATGTACAATAGCTCAAGGGACCCAATGTATATTTTACAGTGTATACTCATTATAACACCAAAATCCAATGAATAATGTCATTATTTAATATTTTCATTAAAATACAGCGCTTTTTTTTTTTTTGAGATGGAATTTCCCTCTTCTTGCCCAGACTGGAGTGCAATGGCGTGATCTCGGCTCATTGCAACCTCTGCCTCCCGGGTTCAAGTAGTTCTCCTGCCTCAGCTTCCAGAGTAGCTGGGATTACAGGCATCCACCACCACACCCGGCTAATTTTTGTATTTTTAGTAGTGACAGGGTCCCACCATGTTGGCCAGGCTGGTCTCAAACTCTTGACCTCAGGTGATCCGCCCACCTCAGCCTCCCAAAGTGCAGGGATTACAGGTGTGAGCCACTGCGCCTGGCCTATAATCCAGTTCTTAAACCCTGAGAAACCCATAACCTTAAGAAGAACAGAAAAGAAACAAACAGAATATCATTAACTTCTTTTCTTCCCTTCCTGAACAATTTAGTCTTAAAGCCATTAGGTGAGGCGGAGGCATCATGCCAGGTGGGAAGAAGAAGGCACAGGAACCCTGAGCAGCGTTCAGCGCTGAGTAGGGTGAGGAGGGCATCCCTACGGGAGAAGGAGGGCTGGCCTGACATGGGATGTCAGACCCCGAGTGGGATAAGATGACAAGATACAATCCATGCTTCTTACTAGCTGTGCAGCCACGGTTAAGTAACTACATAAATTTAACCTCAATTTCCTCTTTTGCAGTATAGCTAATATTTGTTTCTCAGGATTGCTGAGAAGATTAAAAGAATGTTTGTCATTAATTCCCAGTAAATCTGGTTTTATTCATATTACTACTATAATTCCAGACATACATATACAGAAAAAGACTGAAAAGAAATATATTAAATCAGGCATTAACCTGATTTTTATATTCTTTCTTCATTTCAGACTCTTTTTTCCAGAGTTTCTTTTCTCTCAAATAAGCACATATTGCTTTTTTAATCAGAAAAGAACACACAAGATGTTATTAAATATATGGAATATAGCTGAATTTTTAGAGTACTTATTTACTTTTTTTTTTTTTTTTTTTTTGAGACTGAGTCTTGCTCTGTTGCTCAAGCCGGAGTGCAGTGGTGCAATCTCAGCTCCCTGCAACTTCCACCTCCCGGGTTCAAGCAATTCTCATGCCTCAGCCTCCCCAGTAGCTGGGATTACAGGCACGTGCCACCACACCCAGCTAATTTTTTATTTTTAGTGGAGACGGGGGGTTTCATCAAGTTGGCCAGGCTGGTCTTGAACTCCTGACCTCAGGTGATCCACCTGCCTCGGCCTCCCAAAGTGCTGGGATTAGAGGTGTGAGCCATAGCACCCAGCCACTTTTATATTTTTAAAAAGTAAAAGCTATTTTAAAAGATAACATTCTGGCTCTTATTTCTTTGAAAGATATACATTGCTAATAGAAACTTCTGAACAAAGTATCCAAAGGAAAGTGATTTACTGGCTGATACTAACATCTATTAAGACTCAGGCCAAATATCTGTATTTGCGTGGTACAAAAAAAAATGAAACAATGTTTACCTACAAATGACACTCAATGATGGGGTAGGGACTTTAAAAAATAAACTTACTTCCTGAGATCAGGCAGGAGAGACAGTGGGGAAGAGAGAACCTTAACACTGAAAACATTCCCACATAGAGATTTCAGTATATTGGGATCAGGTTGAAATAGCCCCATTTAGAGTAGGAAAAGCACTGCATAAGATGCCTGCCACCCATTCTGGTCCCTGTTCTACCTCATAACTAAGTGACTTTAGGAAGATCACTTAAAAAAAGAACAATCTCTGCCATCTCCCTCACAAAGCTGACAGGAGATTGGGGCTGCTTGTGTGAAACTGATGTGTAAACTGCAAAGCAATGTTCACATGGAAGGCAAGAGATGAAGGGCATACTTAGATCAGTGTTCAAGAAATGCAGGAATCTCCCCATGAGAAGAATTTAAGAGGTAAAGGGACATCACATTAAGTGCCATTAAATCACACTATTTGAAAGAGACCCTACATAATGATCTCCCAATCCTCCTGCAGACATTAAGGAGAAAGTCTCAGACTGGTACCACTATACAGTTAACACCTCTCTGTTACTAATCTCCTCTTTTAACAAACACAGAATAGGACTCAGACTCAGGATCTCCGGCAAACAAAAGTAGCAGGCCCTTAGTACTGTTTTGGTTTCTCTATATTTATATTTCTAAAGCCCTTCTAATTATACCTAGTGATACTGGATTCCCATTTAAGATAGTGATGTAAAATCTCCTTTTAAAATAAATTCAATTCAGTGAAAGATTAAAAGTTACTTTATTTAGGCAGAAGTACATGATTGTGACCAAAACCTTGAAGTTCATAGGCAATGAGCTAAAATTTGGAAAATGCTTAGTGGCAGAATGGCCTAAAGAGCTATTCTGTACTCCGAATTCCCAAAAGGCAAGAACCAAGATTCATCCACCTCCAATATCTCCCCTGGAACCTTACACAGTACCTGGAACATAGTAGACTCTAAAATACCCAATTAACTGGGAATCAACTGTTATCATAAATACTGGGCTTCAGCCCTGGTTCTTCCTGGCTCCAAAAGCAACATATGAGTAGATTTCTCCAGGTAGATAGGAGTGAGATAAACCCCAAATAATCAGGAACAAGAGCCAAGTAGAGAATAAACCCTGAGAAGCTTTGTGAGTAAAAAATGATACTGTTTACACATTGCGCATTAGAAAACAAGTAGAAAGTCCAAAAATAAAATTAAAAACTTACAGCAAAGAAGAAAAAAACAAAGCCTCACAAACTCCACAGCTTCAGTTGGCCTAACCACAACTGAGAAACTGCTTCCCAAAGAACTAAATGACAAGTCGAGAGAAAGGCCCCATTGTCAGGTCAGCTGTTCCTGAGAAGAAACAACATTCAAAACTAGAAGAAAAAAAAAAAAAACTCTCACTACTAAAAACTAATACGGACAGGAAAGTATTTTTTAAAGTTATAATTTGACTTGGATGATTTAATATCTCTGATAAAGAATCCAGAAAATTGTTTAGCATATTTGAGGAACTCTGCATCTATGTAGAATAAAAAGAAAAACAACTTTTAATTGGGCCGGGCATGGTCCTGTAAATCTCAGCACTTTGGGGGACCGAGGCAGGTGGATCACCTGAGGTCAGGAGTTTGAGACCAGCTTGGCCAACGTGGTGAAACCCATCTCTACTAAAAATACAAAATATTAACTGGGTGTGTTGGTGTGTGCCTGTAATCCCAGCTACTTGGGAGGCTGAGGAAGGAGAATTGCTTGAATCCAGGAGGTGGAAACGGCAATGAGCAGAGATTGTGCCACTGCACTCCAGCCTGGGCAACAAGAGTGAAGCTCCATCTCAAAAAATCAGCAATATCTCAAAAAAGAAAAACCTAGTTACATGTTCTTATAAAGAAGTTTCGCTCTTAATATAAAATACTCCAAAAGTTTATTTCATAAGACATACTCAAAATATAAATCCTATAATCTAAATTTAGACACTAGAGTTTCAATATAATTTTGATTTTCCAAAGATTACCAAGCATGAAATAGCAGTCTCCTTGGTGAAGGGGTATCGCCAAACCAGGTGTCTCTATGTCCCATGAGATCTTAAAACCAACATGCCAAATATCAGGATCCCTGCCTTCGAGATGAGAGTCATCCTCACTTTCCTCTTCAGGGCCTGCCAAAAGAGAAGAAAATGATCAGAAAGGAAATGTTTAATCTAAGCTTCTGAATTTTATAATTGTTATTTTAGAAAGAATTGATATTTTAATAAAATATGAATATTAAATGAAATATATCTTCCCTTTATGTCATATTTTTAAAAAGATATTCTAGGTTATTTTTAACATGTCATTAATTTTTTCATCAAGAAACCTTAAATAGGCCAGGTGTAGAGGCTCACGCCTATAATCCCAGCACTTTGGGAGACCAAGGTGGTAGATCACTTAAAGTCGGGCATTCAAGACCAGCCTGGGCAAGAAATCAAGACCCCCATCTCTATTAAAAAAAAAAATTACTTTTTAAAAATAAAAAACAGATGTAAAGAGAAATTATGTTCTTAGGAAATAAGACTGAACATCACAGAAATGTCAGTACTTTCTAAATTCATCTAGAAATTGGACATAATATAAATAAAAAGACCAAAGGGATCATTTTTTAGATGAATGGGGTTAGTAACTAGAAAAGCTGTTTCTATAATACACATGGAAATATAAACAAGCAAGAACAGCCAAGGAATGTTTTTCTAAATATATAAAGAGCAACTATACATCAGTAAGATAAAGGCCAATAGACAAATTTAAAACTGAGCATGTTATAAAGGCACAATACATAAAAGGAAATAAAACTAGCTCATAAACATATAAAAATATGTTCCAATTTATTCACATAAAAGAAATGCATGTTAAAGCCAAAAGAGAGAAATTTTTTCACCTATCAAAACAGAAAACATCAGTTTGAAAACAACACAGTGTTAGTAAGAGTACAGTAAAATGGCACACTCACACTCTCTGTAGAGGACAATTTGGCAATACTATCAAAATTACAAACGCATAAGCTCTTTGACTCTTATAGAAATTACACTTTTAAGAATGTATACTAAAAGTCCTACATTCAGGGGTTGTAAAATGACTGTTGAGCAAGTATATTTATTGTAGTATTGCTTGTAAGAGCAAAAGATCAGAAATTACTCAAATGTTCATCAGTAGGTTTCTGGTTAAATAAATTATGATCTCTCCAGACAATAAAATACTATGTAGTCACCAAAAATAATATGACTATATACAGATATGGAACTATCTAATATATTTTCAGAGAAAAAAATAAATAGGCTATACTCATATAGAAAACAAAGTACAGACTGGGCGCAGTGGCTCACACCTCTAATCCCAGCACTTTGGGAGGCCAAGGGAGGAAGATTGCTTGAGCTCAGAAGTTCGAGGCCAGCCAGGACAACATGGTGAAACCCTACCTCTACAAAAAGTAAAAGAAATGAGTGGGGCATGGTGGCACGTGCCTGTGGCTCCAGCTACTCAGGAGGCTGAGGTGGGAGGATTGCTGGAGCCTGGGAGGTGGAGGCTGCAGTGAGTTGTGATAGCACCAGTGCACTCCATTCTGGGCAACAGAGTGAGGCCCTGCCTCAAAATAAATATAAATAAATAAATATCAAGCACATATAGTATTTCTGGAAGGATACTCAAGACTGATTTTTCTGGAAGGATAATAATATAATATTTATAATACTTCTGGAAGGATACACAAGACTGGAATACAACATTTCTGGAAGGATACTCAAGACTAGTTTTTCTGGGGTACAAGAGTGGGAGATACACTAAAAAAGGTAGAAGGTATACACACTATGATTTGCCTATAATCACAGCCCTGCAGGAATAACTCTACATAAAAACTTTTAAAAGTTAATTTAATAATTATTTATTGAGCACTTACTATTTACTGGTCATTGCACCAGGCATGTGGGATATGTCAGTGACTGAAACAAAGAGCTATGCCCCACTGGAGCTTCTCCTTTTAGTGGAGCTGTAAATGTGCATCACTGATTACCATGAAGGGGACATTTTAAATTGAAATTCCATCACACTTTAAACTGCTGTACTAGACTCTGATCTTCCAGGGCAGAGTCTGTTTTTCTATTTCATCCACAATTATAGCCCTAGTGACTGGCACAGAGAAGGCATTCAATGAACACCATGGCTTGCTTAAACAAAATGTTCTTTTAGTTCACTCCATTCACAGTCCTTGTGCTAGATGGCAGGGAAAGAAAATGTTAATTTGGAAGAAAAAAACAAAAATGCCTCAAATTTACAACCAAAGGACATAAGAAAGCATGGCATTGCTGCTAAACTAGTACAGTCCTCAGTACTAAAGAAGTTTAGAGAGGAGAGAGGTTCAACGACAGAACTAGAGCAGAACTCTTAGAGAAGGTCAAACGTGAAAGACAACAGTGTTTAGACTGGCAGAGGGTAAAATGAGAAGTAATGCAGGAAGACAAAAAGATGCAAAGCTTTCAAAATGCACAATAAAGCATGTTTTCCCTGGGCTGTATCATGTATATATCACATAAACAATTTAAAAAATACATGCATCCCAGATGGCACACACAGAATCCCTAAATTCTGAATGTCGTACTCTACCGCCAAATGTGCAGAAGGGTCAAAGGCAGTGAAAGGAAGGAAAAAAAGAAACTCCCCTTTGTAACTATTCATTCACATTAATTTGCACTAGGCATGGTGAAAATGAACACATCAGAAAGCCAAGTTCATGGTCTCTGCAAGGAAGGAATGCTGCTAAGTGACTTTTAAGGATACATCTGACTTTGGATACTCTTTCCCCTAAGTTTGGTCTGAAATCTAACACTGCCATATTAACAGTATCTTACCTTTTTTCATACCTGCCATTCTAATACATGTTTTCTCCAGTACTTTTTAATTAAGAACATCTTTTAATTAGGTTTTTTTAACAGAATAACAATAAAAGTCCAAAGCCATTTCCTAGGTTAATTAAAAAAACATTTTTTATAAACCTTCTAGAATGAGAATGATAAATACCTTTATATCAGGGGACATGACTGATTGGCTGGTTGCGGCTTTTTAGAGCCCTAGTGGAGAAGAAATCTGAAACTTTCTCCTAGCTCAGCAGGAAAGAGTGTTATGATCAATTACTGATGTCTGTCATGGGCACTACAAGGGTTAGTGAGTGGCAGCACCAGCATTAGATAGTTGCTATCGATGTCTGATGACATTCTACAGGCACTTCTTATTCATACATAATATACTGTTACACTTGAAAATACCAGAATTTGCTAAACTGGAGTTCATGGACCAGAAAAGAACTCACGAAGGTGTGTAGCTTGACCTCAACCATATTTCCTTAACAAATCTAAATGAGTTGCCAACTGATAAAAGGACTTTGCCTAAAAATCCAAATTCCCAGCTACCCTTGAATTACAAGATCTGGTATCACTGAGCCAGTCACAGTGGCTATAGGGAAGAAGTAGCTGCCCATTTTAGACAAGGACGTGACCTTTGCTAGTCGCAGTCCCCACAGCCACTTCACTTTACTCATTTGAGGTACCTGCCTAACCACAGCAAAGTCTGTGACCCTTACTCAAGAGCTGGGTTGCAGAGATCACAGGCAAATCAGTCCCGTGACCTGCTTTTGCAAAATAAAGTTTAACTAGAACACAGTCATGCCCATTCATTTACATAAATGGCTGCTTTCACACAGACAGCAAGGTTGAGTAGATAAGACACAGACTATAAAACCCACAAAGCCAAAAGTACTTGTTTCTGGCCCTTTACAAAAAAAATTTGCCAACACCTGTTCGAAAGTCTTGATATTTGTGATCTGATGTCTACTGCACATTTTAGTAAAGAAGTTGAGGCTGCATAAAATAATTATGATGTAATGTGACTAATACCTAATAATGTAACATGACTAATGACAGCATACAGTATAATAATTAATGCTAAATTAATTGATATCCAGATCACCTTAGCAAAAGAATATGATATAAAAATTATGTTTATATTTGTGATAACCCAAGACTTGGCTGCTTCATTCTAGGGGGGCACTAATGATTACAGATAGAGCAAACAGCACAAGAAAAAAAAAGGAAATATTTTAGGAAGGTTTTTCACATGTCCCTTTCTGGTCAAATCAACTATAACTTCTACCATTGAAGTCCACACAAAATTAAAAAGAAATAAAAAGGCCCAGGTGTGGTGGCTCACACCTGTAATCCCAGCACATTGGGAGGCTGAGGTGGGTGGATCACGAGGTCAGGAGATTGAGACCATCCTGGCCAACATGGTGAAACCCCATCTCTACTAAAAATGCAAAAATTAGCTGGGTGTGGTGGTGCGTGCCTGTAATCCCAGCTACTCAGGAGGCTGAGGCAGGAGAATCGCTTGAATCCAGGAGGCAGAGGTTGCAGTGAGCCGAGATCGCGCCACTGCACTCCAGCCTGGTGACATAGTGACACTGCACCTTAAAATAAATAAATAAATAAATAAATAAATAAATAAATAAATAAATAAAAAAAAAGAAAACCAATTATAATGACTTGAAAAAAATAATTTTCAAACTGTAAGGAACAGTTTTTATGAAGTTTTAATGCCACTGCGTGTGGACAGTCTAATAAGTGGGAATCTTCATAGGGTAACAGTCTGCTTGACTACTTTCCCTTCTAACTTTCATCCTGGTACTCTTCTCAAGCTGGCATCAATAAAGACAATTAGAGACAATAATTGCAATTAGTCTTTCTCGATGTCTCCCAAAAATCCAACACCTTTGAAATCTGCTCAGTAAAATGATAGTTTGGTGAGAGTTTTTCCCCTCCTTAGGCTGTGTAGGGAGGAGGAAAGTTTCACGTCTGATAAACTTTTTATTGTTAAATATAGTGTTCTTACTTCTCAGTGAAATCAACTTGTAATTACCTATAGCAACTGTAACTGATTACTCTTGCCCCATGTTATTTTGGCAACAAGCAGAGGCAACAGGTTCTTACTTGCCTTTAAGCCTCAATAAAATTGAAAAGATTTTAAGTACCTCAGTGTGTTTGGTGCACTCCCAGCTCCCAGCTCCCACTAACCAAACTGTTAAATAAGTAGAAGATGTGACAACATACAAAAGACTGTTAAGTTTAAAAGTCAAGTTTAAATTGTCCAAAACTTCCCCCCAAAATTAACCCATTCAATGTTTTATGCCAGCTAGTTTTTGAGAAAAAATTCTATTTAATAAAGCACAAAATACTTTGTTTACATTTCTAATTATAACCACGGCTCTACAGGAAACAAAGACAGAAGCCAGAGTATGACAGTAGAGATTACAGTGATACTCAAATAAAATATATCACAAAAAATTTTGTACCATATTTAATAACATACATAATAGTGTATGTCAAGAACTTCCCTCACAGGTTCAGTACATATTCATCATCACCATACATTTAAATAGCCCTCTTTCTTTCTTTTTGAGACTAGAGTCTCGCTCTGTTGCCCAGGCTGGAGTGCAGTGTCGTGATCTTGGCTCACTGCAACCTCCACCTCCCAGGTCCAAGTGATTCTCCTGTCTCAGCCTCCTGAGTGGTGGGGATTACAGGCATGTGCCACCACACGTGGCTAATTTTTTGTTAAAAACAGCCCTATTTCTTATTCTCTACTTTCTATTTCCTTAGCCAAGAGCTAAGATACAAAAGATTCTCAGCTTGGTGTGGTGGTTCACACTTGTAATCCCAGCACTTTGGGAGGCTGAGGCAGGCAGACCACTTGAAGTCAGGAGTTCAAGACCAGCCTGGCCAACATGGTGAAATCCCGTCTCTACTAAAAATACAAAAATTAGCCGGGTGTGGTGGCACATGCCTGTAATCCCAGCTACTCAGAAGGCTGAGGCAGGAGAATCACTTGAACCTGGGAGGCAGAGGTTGCAGTAAGCCAAGATAGTGCCACTGCACTCTAGCCTGGGTGACAGAGCAAGACTCCATCTCAAAAAAGAAGATTCCCACCCTTGTGATTACTTCCTCTGTTTCCTTAACTCCACACCTGGAGGAGCTTTAAAAGGCTGGTCCCTTGCTATCCATGTCACAGATCTTGAGGCAGGAGAAACTCACAAGTTGTAGATGGCCAGCTGGTACCATGGAGTCTAATGATGCCTCATCTGTCCAGTGCTGATCTTCGACATTCCCATGTCTGGGATGGGAAATCCATTTTGTAGAACGAAAGGAGACAGAAGGCAAAAGGGGAAAGTGTGACATAGGGAAGGCACATTCTAGGAGGGAAATGGCATGGTGTGTGTATAAGAGCACAATCAATTCCCAGCTGCAATAGTGTCACATGAATGGCATGGACTTGCAAGAGAAGAGCCTGGAGAGGTGGGTGGAGACCAGGACATGGGTTTATGAACCATAGGAAAGAATCTAGAACTTACACTGAGACTACTGACAGACACTAAAGCCTTTTTCACCAGTCAGATCTGTTTTCAGAATGATCTCTCTAGAAGGTACCAGCTTCTTCGTGCATAATTACTACACTTTTTCTAGACACGTTCCCAGCGTAGCAACAAATGGGTACTGTATAAGCCAGAGAGCATTTAGGAAACACAGCTGATGGACTACATCACTAGGAAAGAAAGATTAGCCAAGGAGAAGCCTCCCTGCCAGAGTTCTAGAGTTTAGAAATGCTTTCCTTGACGGGTTGCAAGAAAAGCTTGCTGCTGACACAGCACATACTCCTTCTCAGCCACGGAGCAATGAATGGTCTGAAAAAATGGAGAATTTAGAAAAGTCTGAAGGGGTGAGAAAAAAAAACAAACTAATCATTCCCAGCTCAGAATCTATAACAAGAAGCCGCTCTCAGATGCCTCGAAACAAGCAATTCAAGACAAACATAGTCCCTTGACACAGATAAATTGTAAAATTAATTATAAGTTTTCTAGGATTTCAGGTGAAATATTGAAAACTCTTTACAGAAAAATCTAAAGCCCTTCAACATCATGTCTGGCTCTGTCAGCTTTCAGATTAAGCATTTGGGGAAAAAATTTAAGATAAAAATATTTACATTACAGAGGAGAACCTCATTACATCATGTTTCACGGACTTGGGAGAAAAATTGAAAGTATGAAAAGGAGAGAAAAACTGCTATGCGGGCCATTAGCTAAAGCTTCAAAATCACTATATTATCTGAAGTAAAATATGAAATCAGGTAAGGAAGCAGAGATACTTCTCAAACAATATTCTCCAAACCAGAGCTTCTAACAGTAGAGGTTTCAATTCCTTGGGTAACCTCAGGAAGGTATAAAGAGAGTTGTGGAGACTCACAGGAAACCCTTACGTTGTAAATAACACAGAAACCAGAACCGAACTGGGTTAATCAAAAGAGGGTCATTATTTGTTCATCTAGCTTCAGGTAAAGCTTGATCCAGAGTTCAAAGTACACACCCAATACCCAGTTTCTCTCCTCCCCAAAGCTCAGGAAAAAGAAAGAGAGAGTGGCCACAAAAGCTGGGGGCAGTCATTTGGGGGCCATGAGCTTTAGAATGGCCAAAAGAGGAAGGGGAAGAAATTTGAAACTGATCACATCATTACTGTTGGAACAAGGTCCACTTGAAGCCAGTGAGACGCCAGTTCTTAGGATGAAGTGAGAGAATTCCTTACCTTTTTAAATTAAGCCTCTTTGGGTCTGGAATTATTATTTGCTATCAAAAGAATCCTATTACTAAACAGAGACTGCAGTTGCAGAAATCAAAGAGTTACTGAACAGTGGCCACAATGTAACTGAATAGTACAAGCTCCTCAAGAACAACAAATACTTAACAGATTTGGGGCAAAAAATACTCATTTGCCACTATATACGGATACAAAGAAGGATGAAGACACAAATTACTTCTTTTAGGAGCTTACAAGTTTACAAGTCTAATTCAAACACACATAAAACTATTTATGGCCTTAGAAGTCAGGAGAGTGTTTACTGTTGTGGGGAAGCAGACACTGGAAGGGAGCACTTCTAGGACGCTGATATGTTTCATTTCTTGACCAGGGTGCTAGGTACACAGATATGTTTACAGCAATTCTTCAAGCTGTATGTTTATGATATATGTCATATTTCAATACTGAAAATTCAACAGACAGGCCAGGCGCAGTGGCTCATGCCTGTAATCTCAGCACTTTGGGAAGCTGAGGCGGGCAGATCACCTGAAGTCAGGAATTCGAGACCAGCCTGGCCAATATGGTGAAACCTTGTCTCTACTAAAAATACAAAAATTTGCTGGGCATGGTGGCCCGCGCCTGTAATCCCAGCTACTCAGGAGGCTGTGGCAGAAGAATCACTTGAACCTGGGAGGCAGAGGTTGCAGTGAACTGAGATTGTGCCATTGCACACCAGCCTGGGTGACAAGAGCAAAACTCCATCTCAAAAAAAAAAAAAAAATCAATAGACAGGTTGGAAGTTAATAAAATCTCCCAGATATTAGACTAAAAAACAAACATAAAGATTGAAAATAAGGGAATAAACAAGAAAACTAGAGGAAGAGTCCAGAAGGTTAACTAAATCATATGGATTCCAAAGAGATGAGAAAACTGGAGAGGAAGAAATAACTAACAAAGCAATTCAAGAAAATGTCCAACAACTGAAGGGCATGATTGAAAGCCCTACACAATGACAGTAAAATGAGTGAAAAATATCACTGTGAAATTGTAAAACATTCAAAAAAAGATCCAACAAAAAAAGCGACATAAAAGCTGAAGAAAAATTCAGAACTCTTAAAATGAACACTGTAAGATAAAAGACAGTAATGCAATGTCACTACGATTCTGAAAAAAAATATTATTTCCTAACAAGGTTTTCATACTGGAAGAACCTACATATACCAAGGTGGAATAAAGATGATTGAAGACATTTAAGGTCTTAAAAATTTACCTCCTAAGCATCTTTCTGAAGAAAACATTGTAGGACATGCTCCACCAAAATAAGAAAACAGTCAGGAAAGAGCAAGGCCAGGATGCAGGAACGTGAGGAGTTCACAAAAGAGAGAAGTAAAGGAATCCGCTGGATTACAATGAAGAGGTCACAGAAAGGGATCCCCATGCATCAGGCATAGAACACCAGATTGGAGCAGACAAGAAGACTCTGGAAGACAGTGCTCCAAGAAAATGAAATGGACAGAATATCTGATGGTTCTGAAGCTCTTAAGAGGAGATGTGGTAGATAGCAAGGGATTTAATTAGTCATAACTACATAGAAAACTATACAAATACACAAAAAGCAAGACTACCATTAATGCAAGAAAAAAGTTGAAAAGAAAAGGATAACAGATCACAGGTTTTGGAAGGCATTCTCATGTATATATATGATAACTATAAAGGCTGAATAGTGATATAATCAAAATTACAGTAAATCTATAATGGGAATCAGAAGCGTGTACATGTGTAGGCAGGCAGGGAGAAAGAAGAGAGCTAGGTAAATCTTCACCTTCCATATCAGGAAGCCAATATATAATGTTCAAAACAATGTAAGTATGTTATCAACTACCAAAAGCATTACCTGAAAGAAAAGAGTAGAAATGATTGCCTGTGGAAATGAAAATGGGAAGAAAAGGTGTAAAAACTCCTGCTTTTTTTTCCTTAGCAAACCTTATAAAAATATTTGACTTGTAAAAATGATATGAATGAATAATTTTGATAAAAACTAAAAATAACACAGTATTGAATGCTTACTATGTGCTAATTACTGCTGTTATGTTCTTGGCACTTTACAAGTGTTTAATTCTCACAATCTTGAGGTGGATACAGCTCTGATCACTATTTTACAGATGAGAAAACTGAGTCACAAAGAATTTAAGTAACTTGCTTAAGGTCCCATAGCTAATTAATACCAATATGAATGATGTCATTCAGTAGTATAGAATTTAAGTGCCTCATCAATGTCATGGACAGTAAAGTCTATTCCACTGTTCTCTGATCCCGTGCTCATCACATTAATATATCATCAAAAGTTCAGGCCGGGCGCGGTGGCTCACGCCTATAATCCCAGCACTTTGGGAGGCCGAGACAGGTGGATCACAAGGTCAGGAGATCAAGACCATCCTGGCTAACATGGTAAAACTCCACCTCTACTAAAAATACAAAAAATTTGCCGGGTGTGGTGGTGGGCGCCTGTAGTCCCAGCTACTCAGGGGGCTGAGACAGGAGAATGGCGTGAACCTGGGAGGTGGAGCTTGCAGGGAGCTGAGATCGCGCCACTGCACTCCAGCCTGGGTGACAGACCGAGACTCCGTCTCAAAAAAAATAAAAAAAAAAAGTTCAGCTATCCTTGAAGAAAATATTGCAAGTCATATATCTGATAAGGAATTAATATCTAGAATACATAAGGAACTCACAAAACTCAACAACTAAAAACCAGCCAAATTCAAAAATGGGCAAACAACTTGAATAGACATGTCTCCAAAGAAGATATATAAATGGCTAAGAACATGAAAAGATGTTCAACATCATTAATTATTAGGAAAATGTGTATCAAAACCACAAGGAGATACCACTTCATACCCATTATGATGGCTGTTATCAAAAAACAGGAAACAGTAAGTGTTGGCGTAGATGTGGAGAAATTAGAGCCCTTGCGCATTGCCAGCGAGAATATAAAACAGTTCAGTCGCTGTAGAAAACAGTACAGCAGTTCCTCAAAAATGTCAACATAGACCTATCATTTGATCCAGCAATCCTACGCAAAAGTACATACACAAAAGTATATACACAAAAAAAGTATACACACAAAAGTACTGAAAGCGGAGATTCCCACAGATATTTGTATACAGAGATATTTGTTCACAGCAACTTTATCCACCATAGCCAAAAGATGGCTATTATGAATAGCCGATGGATGAATCAATCAACAAAATGTGGTATATTCATACAATGGAATATTAGTCATCTTTAAAAAGGAATTAAATTCTGATACATGCCATAACATGGATGAATCTTGAGGACACTATGTTAAGTAAAATAGTTGTATTAGTTTGTTTTCATGCTGCTCATAAAGACATATCCGAAACCGGAAACAAAAAGAGGATTAATTGGACTTACAGTACCACATAGCTGAGAGGCCTCTGAATCATGGCAGGAGGCAAAAGGCACTTCTTACATGGCAGTGGCAAGAGAAAATGAGGAGGAAGCAAAAGCGGAAACCCCTGATGAACCCACCAGATCTCGTGAGACTTATTCACTATCATGAGAATAGCACGGGAAAGACCGGCCTCATGATTCAACCAGTTCCTCTTTGGTCCCTCCCACAACATGTGCGAATTCTGGGAGATACAATTCAAGTTGATATTTGCCCAGGGACACAGCTGAACCATATCAATAATCTAGACACAAAAGGTCAAATATTGTATGATTCCACTTACATGAGGTACCTAGAATAGTCAAATATAATACAGACAGAAAGCAGAACAGTGGTTACCAGGAAATGAGGGAAGGAGAAATGGGGAGTAATTGTTTAAATGGGTACAGAGATTTGGTGTGGGATGATGCTTAATGCCACTCAACTGTACAGTTAATATGGTTATAATGATTAATTTTATGTATATTTTATTGAAATAAAAAAGGATACAAGGGAATGAGCTACTGATATACATAACAACATGGATGAATCTCAAAATAACTATGCTAAGTTAAAGAATCCAGACAAAAAAACCGTGCACATATATAATTCCATCTGGTTAAAATTCTAGAAAATGCCAACTCATCTAGTGACAGAAAACAAATCCAGGCTGACACAGTGGCTCACACCTGTAATTCCAGCTCTTTGGGAGGCTGAGCAAGGAGGATCTCTTCAGGCCAGGATTTCAAGATCAGCCTGGGAAACATATTGAGACCCAGTCTCTACAAACAAATAAAAAACAATAAAAAAAGAAAACAGATATGTCAGGAAGAGGAATTGCAAAGGGGCACAAGGAAACTTCTGGAATAATGGGTATGTTCATTATCTTGATAGTGGGGATAGTTTCACAGGTGTGTTGAAACTTATAAAACTATAAATGTTCAATATGTATAGCTTATTGTATGTCAGTTATTCCCGAATAAAGCCATTCACAGAGGGGAGAAAATGTAGCCATTCTTACAGGCTTAGCCTTCTCTTGACAAATGGGAGATGCCACTGCTGGTTATCCTTTCTCACTGGTGCTGAAACACTGCCACTCTCTTTGTTGGTAAAAAGTTACAGGACTGTATTTACACATTTCTCCCCTGCTCTGCCTCTTCTGATCTGGACCATCATATCCCTAGTCTGGATTACTTTGGTCACCTCTGTGAGCTCTCCTGTTTCTGGTGTTGCTTCCCTTCTTCTACTCCTCAGTGGCTCCCCATCTCACTCCAAATCCAAACCTACTACTTTGTATTCTAACATGACAAAGCCCTACCTTCTGCCACCCATTTACTTGTCCCTTTGTCTTCATTTCATTTCCTCTTCTCTCACTCTATTCCATCCACACTTGTTGCTTCTGAAACATCCCAATCATGTTCTATCTTCCCGCCTATGTGCTCCCGCTTCAAATTTCTCAGTGGCTCATTCTCTCCGTCCAATCTGCTTAAATGTTACCCCTTTAACAAGGCCTTGCCTGGCTCTCCTACCTAAAATTGTAAGATTATCCCTCACCCTTGTTACACAATCTACTTTTATTTTCTGTTTTCCCTTGCTAGAATGTGAGCTTGATGAGGGCAGGGATTTTTGTCTGTTTTGTTCACTGATACATGCTCAGCATCTAGACAACTGACTAGCAAATAGTAGATGCTTATTGTTAAATGAAAAAATAATTGCATAGGCATGAAAAAAATGTAACTTTGTAGATCAAATAAGTTTTTTCCCCCCCTTTGGTCTTCTTGTGAGCCTTCTTGGCTCTTCATGGGAGACCTTATTGTTAGATGAATAAATAACTGGATGGTCACCCCCAAAAATGTGACTTATAAGACCAAACAAGTTTTACTGAGCAGTATAAGTGATTTCAAAAATCACTGACAAGGCATAGCATGATACAATAAAAAAAAGCTAGGTCAAATAAGCTTTGAGATTTTAGACAGGGATGCTGGGACGCTAAGATAACATTAAACATCACAGCGTTTTTATGAATACTCCAAAACTCCAAGCTGTAATTATAAACTAGCTTTTCATGGTCTCAGTGATGAGCTGAGAAATATAGAGCAAGTCATGTTAAAATAGAGATTCAAGAATTACGGGAACAAATTTCCATCCTTAAGGGGATGCAATTTTTCCCAAATCAAAGACATGAATGGAAATCCTAGAATTCCAAGAACATTATTGCAAAGTCTCTACTTTCCAGCCTATCACATGCTCAACAGGAAACATGGATCGGTTTCTTCCTTTTGTGAGCCTTCCTGGGTTTTGGATTTTTGTTTGTTTCTTTGTTTGTTTTGAGACGGAATCTCACTCTGTCGCCCGGGCTGGAGTACAGTGGCGCAATCTCAGCTCACTGCAACCTCTGCCTCCCAGGTTCAAGCAATTCTACTGCCTCAGCCTCCCGAGTAGCTGGGACTACAGGTGCGCACCACCATGCCCAGCTTATTTTTCTATTTCTAAGAGACAAGGTTTCACCATGTTGGCCAGGCTGGTCTTGAACTCCTGACCTTGTGATCCACCTGCCTTGGTCTCCCAAAGTGCTGGGATTACAGTTGTGAGCCTCCGCGCCCAGCTGCCTTCCTGGCTCCTTGTGGGAGGTCTGGAAAATAATGTCAAGAATATGCAATACTTGGCACTAGTTTAAAATCTTAAGAATTGCTTTTCTTTCTAGAAAGACAATTTCACAGAAAATGTTTCCTTCCAGACAAAGAAACAAAAATGGTAGCCAATAGTTACTGTTGATCTAAGTGATGTTTCTGAAGGTGTTCCAGTCAAAGAACAAGGTGCTGGACCATATTAAACATTGGGTTTTTAATGCCTTCCCCGCTAAAGTTCGTTTTTTATAGCTAGGAGTAACAAGCAATTGCCAGCAAAGCTGGAATAGGAAAATCAAATATTCTGCCTATTTACATATGGTTCCCCGAAGCCATTCCTGATTAAAAATTGTACCATTTCAATCTTCCTACTGGAGATATCTATTAACTAGAACGGCATGTGAAAGCCAATGAATTTAGTATATAATTACACGTATCCTATACAAATTACTTCTCAATGACCTCTACTCATGAAAATAAACCAAAGAGGGATGACTGGCTCATTATAAATCTACAAGAAGATTTCCCTGGGAAAAGGTATTGAGAGCAGAGTCTTGAAAGATCTTAAGCTTCAACTGAATTTAATTTCAGCAGGAAGCAATCACTTCTGTATCTGAATTCCCAGTGCATTTTACGTGAACCTCTCCAGTGGCAAGGAACACTTTCCAACTTAAATCCCTGCTCTTATCACTAAGTAGCAATGTGACCTTGGCCAAGCCACTTCCCTTCTCGGTGTTTTCATTTGTAAAATGAAAGGCTAGAATCAAGTGATTTCAAAAGTCTCTTTCAAACCCAATGTTTCATCATTTCATAATTATAATCACGAGAGCCCACCTATTACCTCCCTATTACCTCAAAGTGAGAAAGCCATTGATTTATCTTTGGAGTTCCCATACTGTCTAGAACAGCTCATTGACAAACAAGTTCAAGGACACAGAAAAAAATACAATTCTCTGAAGTGTCCACTCTCTATGACCTCCTTAAGCCCTTCTCAACCTCAACCAAAATTTTAAACCAAATGATTCTCTTCAAGTCCACCTTTGCCATAGTTCTGGCATTCTGCCAAGGATTATAAGACCAGAAAACTAAACAGATATCACTTGTCACTTAGAAGACATGCGCCCACCATAGAGTTTCAAGGCACATGCTTTGTACACCATCTGACCCAGAGCCACATGCTTTGTATGCCGTCTGACACACAGCCAGACACCTACAGAAAGGTTCTGTTTCATCGAATAAGATAATCTGATGCATTCCAATCATCTGAGAGTATGTGCTGGAAAGCTACAGCAGATGTGGGTGAGAAGTAAAGCTGGAGAAAGGAAGACACCAGGACCTGAAAGAAAAAGCAAGTGGAATGTCCCCTTAACCTTTCCAGAAGGTGGACATTTTAAAAATCCAAGTCCCTGGCCAGGCGCAGTGGCTCACACCTGTAATCTCAGCACTTTGGGAGACCAAGGCATGCAGATCACGAGGTCAGGAGTTTGAGACCAGCCTGGCTAGCATGGTGAAACCCCGTCTCTACTAAAATTATAAAAAATTAGCTGGGAGTAGTGGTGCATGCCTGTAATCCCAGCTACTCGGGAAGCTGAGGCAGGAGAATCACTTGAACCCAGGAGGCGGAGGTTGCAGTGAGCCGAGATCGTGCCACTGCACTCCGGCCTGGGAGATAGAGCAACACTCTGTCTCAAAAAATTAAAAAAGTAAAATAATAAAATAAAATCCCTGAGACGGCTACACTGCTGGGATAAGAAATACCTGCTCATAATGCACATAGCCTTAGGTGTTAAGATTCTGAAGCCTGGATATTTGTCCTCAAATCCTAACTCTGCTAATTACTTGCTGCATCACCATGAACAAGTTAATCAACCTTCTGTGACTCAGTTTCCTCATCTGTAAAATGAGGATAGCAATAGTACTTCATTACTATTTTGTTCTTTGAATTGTTGGGAAGACAAAATGAGTTAATGCATGTAAAATGCTTATAACAGCATGTAGCACGTAGTAGGTGCTCAATAAATGAGCATTCCCAGTATTGCTATTATTATTAGATGGAGTTCTGAGAATTTCTGCAGTTAAGAGAACAAAGGAGGCCGGGCATGGTGGCTCAAGCCTGTAATCCCAGCACTTTGGGAGGCCGAGGTGGGCGGATCATGAGATCAGAAGATTGAGACCACGGTGAAACCCCGTCTCTACTAAAAATACAAAAAATTAGCCGGGCGTGGTGGCGGGCGCCTGTAGCCCCAGCTACTTGGGAGGCTGAGGCAGAAGAATGGCGTGAACCTGGGAGGCGGAGCTTGCAGTGAGTGGAGATCGCACCACTGCACTCCAGCCTGGGCGACAGAGCGAGACCCCGTCTCAAAAGAAAAAAAGAAAAAAAAGAGAACAAAGGAGTTTGCACACCGCTCTTACAGATTCAAATTCTACAGTTCCCTCTTTAAGTACCAACATTTCTATATTTATATGTAATTTATATTTGTATACTTTGTCAGTCTTAATTACTCCTGAGCATAGAAACTATTCATTAGACATTTAAATTCCTTTCTGAAAGATATTCTAGGTTTCAAAAACTACTTGATCACCCACGGGAAGGGAGTACAATAGGACTATTAAACTGGAGGGCTCAGAGTAATTGGGAGCACAAAGACATCTTTGTAGAGCTTTGTACTATCACATACCACTGCTTCAGGTTTGGAGAGTTGTCTCCTTAAGAAAGAAACTAACTCCATTGTTCGTTCACATCAGAGTTCTTGGATGTGATAGTTCTTAAATCCCTGGCAAGTCCTTATTAAAGATCAGAGGATCTCCGTTCTTTCCATTAGGACAGCGTTAAATCCCTTCAAGCGATTTTCTTAGGTCAGCATCATTATTTGAGATGCCAGAGAAAGTGGTGAAATTTCCAAATGCTAAACTAGTTCCTTGTTTCAGACTGAAGACATAAGATAAAGTTAGAAAAAATATTAGTAGTTCTGAGGAAATTTTTGAGACTGGGAAATTGTAAGAAATTTAAAGAGTACTTTAAAGATCTTTTTTTTCTTAAATCTCTTTTCCAAAACAGTAATTTTAGTAAACAAATAACAACAACAAACAAAAATCCAATCAAATAACTAGAGTTGTCAGAAAATAATGACCCTGGAAAGTTCCAGTCATTCCCTGATGGGATATCCAGAATTCTGGTTTTCCAAACATCTTTCAGTAAATCAGACAGGAGAGCTAATACTATGTCTTGTATCCCTTTGCCAAATAATCAGACACAAAAGAAAGTCAACAGAGGTCATGCTCTCCTCCATCTGTTCAACTACCATTTTTGTAATTCTATTCTAAGGAAAAATGAGGGCCATAAACACACAGAAACAATAATAGAAGAAGAGAAATGTGGGTGGGCTACTAAGAGGTAGCCTACGATCTGTTTCAAGGGGATTATACATCAGAAAATGCAAGAACAAGTCTACCACAGCCACCCAACAAGGTCTAAAACTGCAGAATTGGGTAAAGAGCTAGGGAGTTTCCTGAAAATAGAGGACTGTCTGCTTACAAAACCTACCTCAACTGCTTCTGGCAAGGAAGGACAGTAGTTACAAACTATAGGAAGCCAAGAACAAGTCCATATTTGACAAATCACACCCATCAAGATAGTGATGTCAACCATAATAAAATATTTTGGCAGGTCTGGAAATGTGCACCTGTGGGAACCTGGAAAGATTTGACAGATTTTTGTTTTCCCAGCTCTTTATCAGCAAGTTAATTATAGCAACTGTACAATCTCCTCTGAGCTGTAGAGAAGACAGTCGGCTGTATGAAACCAAGAGGCTGCTCTCCTGGGCACAAGAGAGACAAATGACAGCAGTGCTTACGTGCGAAAATATTCTGAGTACAGTATAACAATGAGCCAGCTAGCATGGCCAGATGAGAAAGAGGCATATTCTGCAGACATACAGGTGTGACAAGACTAAAAAGGACACATGATACACACACACGCATGTGCATGTACACACGCAAGCACACATGCAAACATGTTCATGTATATGCGTGTGTATCTCCAGAGCCTAAACAACTCGGGTCATATTATTACATACAGGGCTGCTTTTTCCAAGAGCAGACTGTACCTTCACAGCTATAACTGTACACTGCCACCGCTGACCTGTCCACCAGATTTTCATCATGATGCCAGCTCACTGCCATTTTCCCCATGCCAAAATAAGGTTCCTCTTTCAGGTATGGCATTTTCTGAGGATCCATGAAATTCAGCAAAGTTACGTTGTATGCTGCTCTGCTCTTAATGTCCACTTCATCTTGTCCGTTGTAGGATGAACCCATCCCAACCCTGGGGAAATCTGCAGACATACACAATGGCACAGCATCCTCATTAGCCTTCTCTTTGGCAGCAAGTTCTTCCAAAGCCTGGATGGTTTCTATCTGCAGGTAGTCATTGAGCTTGAGGAAGGTCTCACAAGCAGCGGCTATTTCAGCCTCGGTGTGTTTTATATTAGACCCTTTCACTGGCCAGGGGACCGTAAAGAGCCTGGTGTTCAGGTACTTGTAGGTGCAGCCTGGATTACCAATGAGGATGCGAGATACCGGAGTGAGCAGATCTTTGCCTTGGATCCTAACCAGGTCCCGAAATAAGCAGCCATGCTTGTGCAGTGTGAGAAAGGCTTCTTGAACCTCTTTATGGAGCTCCTCAGATACACTGCTGGCTTCTCGGAGAATTAGTTTAGGATATTTCAGCTGCCACTAAAACAAAACCAAAGCAAAAACAGACGTTGATATATAGCTACAATTGTATTATTTCCAAAGGTGTGTTTCTTTGTAAGCATTTGGGGAGTTGTGGGGGGACTACCTGGTGGCTATTTCTAAATAGGAGTCACATCTTCCTAGCCCAAAACAGAAAACCAAATAAAACAAATGTCATCAAACTCTAAAGTCAAGATTTTCAAGTTCAAGCTCAAATTACTAACAATCTTTAATAAAAAACAAAAAATAATAATGTGTGTCCTGATACACCAGGATTATTCTGTGACCACTTTTTCTCACCCTAAATCTCAACACCATTTTATTAACTGCTTATTATCTAAAATATTTATTAAGTGCTTACTACGTACCAGGTACTGTTGTAAGTTACTTGTGTGCATTAGCTCATTTTAACTCTAGGCATAGTATTATTATCTCCAGTTTATAGATGAGACCACTGAAACACAGAGACATTAATCTGACCAAAGACATTAATTTGCCCAAAGTCACACAGCTGGCAAATACTGGAGCTGGAATTTAAAGCCCCTGGACACCAACCCCTGGCTTCCAGGGCACGAGTTCTTAACCATGAGAATGCATTGTCTCAATAAATGACAAACTGGTTTCTGCTTAACACTTTCACAAAAAGAGAACTCACTTCTCTTCAGGAGTTAGACATTAAGTTCCATGAACACAAAAGCCATGGCAATTTTGCTCATGACTATAATATGAGTGCCCAGAATTTACTCAGTAAATGGTAAAGGAATGAATAAATGGATTTGTGCATGGATGAATGAGGTATTATTACATTGTAATTCTACAAAATTCTAATAATTCTACTGGTGTCACTGGAGGAGAGTAATATTGGTCAATTCCCTTCCCTAATACAGAAATACATGGAATGATTAATGTAGGTTAGGGCTGCATTAGCTTTTCGGCTACCACTTTCCTTAGGACTTGGCATGTGAATCGGTGTCAGACTGGAGTTTCCTGATTCTGTAAAATGCAACTGATTTATTTGTAACCAAATCACAGGATTTTACATTTACCTCTGTAACGTTTGATCTGATTTGTTCCTCCCTAGTTTTAGGCTGTCTTAAAGAAAGAGTCAGACATGATCAACACATTAACCTGTCCTCCCTGTATTGTGTTGCCCACCATTGTTAAGATACCTTCCTTCTCTGTCTTCATTTAGTAATTACCATTCACATGATAGGCAGGGCAAGACCAGTATTCTTCCAAACGTTTTTTTTTTCATGCAGCATCTGTTTATTGAGCACCTACCACCAGATGGAAACAAGGTCCCTGTTCTCACAAAGCTTTCTACCAAATCAAGTAAATAAATAAAGAAAAGCAACCCCAAATTGTGTTAAGTACTAAGACAGAAACAAACCAGCAGGAAATCTTATTAGAACAGGAAGAATTCTCTAAGGAGACGGGATTTAAGCTGAGATCTTCAGGAAAAGAAGGCACCAGAAATATGACAAGCCAGAGAAAGTGCTTCCCAGAAAGACAGACCAGAGAAGCCAAAGGCACTCAGGAAAAAGACCAACCTATTCTAGGGACAAAAAAAGGCTTGTTTTACTAGAGCACAAGAGCCAAAGACAGAGTGGCATGCTACGAGGAGGCAGAGGAAGGCGGAGGCCAGATCACACATAGCCCTAGAGGTCGTGGTAAGGAATCTGAAGCTAACTCTAGATGCACTGGAGGATGTAGAAGGGAGAAAAATAACTTGATTTACATCTTATACAATCGCTCTTAGTTATAATATCAGGCACAGATTGGAAAGAGGCACATGTGAGCGTGGAATGTGCTATTACAATCATCTGGAAGAAAAGTGATGGTCTGGACTAAAATAGAGACAAAGATAAGTGGACAGATGAAATACATACGTTGTAGGTAGAACTAAAGGATGTGCTTATGAATTAGATGTAAGGGATAAAAAAAGATATAAGTCTTTTGGGGTTTTTTGGGTTTTTTTGAGATGGCGTTTCGCTCTTGTTGCCCAGGCTAGAGTGCAATGGCATGATCTTGGCTCACTGCAACCTCCACTCCTGGGTTCAAGTGATTCTCCTGCCTCAGCCGCCCGAGTAGCTGAGATTACAGGCATGCGCCACCACACCTGGCTAATTTTGTATTTTTAGTAGAGACGGGGTTTCTCCCTGTTGCTCAGGATAGAAGTTAAGAATACATTCCAGATTTCTGGATTTAACAACTAAATAAACAATTTACTATTCTGTGAAATAAGGAAAACTGAGGCAAAAGAGAAATAGTAGAAAGAAGAAAAGGGGGAAATGAAGAGTTCACTGTAGAGCTGCAGCCTTGAAGATACCTATGAAACCTCCAGGTGAAAATATGGTGGGCGGGGGGAGGGGAATTGGATGTACACATCTGGAGCTCAGAAGAGAAAGCAGGGCAGAGGAACGCAATGTGGGAGTGATCAGCACACAGCTTGGTTTTAAAGGCCTAGAAATGAATGAGATCACCTAGGGAAACAGTACAAATATCAAAAGGAGACCAAAGCTATTTCCTGAGTCGCAGCAGAAGCCTCAACAAAGGAGAACCAGCAGAGTGTATTATTGCAGAAGCTAAAAGAGGAGAGCATTTCTAGAAGGGCGGGGTACTCAACTATGTCACCTGACACTGAGAGGCCAAGTGAGATGAAGACAGATGATCCAGTAGATTTGGCAGCATGAAAATCACTGATGGCAATGACACGAGCAATCTCAGTAGAGTGCTGGGGGTGAAAGTCAGATTGGAGTAGGCGAAGATGGAATGAAAGAGGAGGAAGTGAGATGGCATGTAGAGATGTCTCTGAATGGTTCTGCTATGAAGGGGAGTAGAAAAATGGAGCTTTTGATAAAGAAGAAGGCTAGACTAAGGGACAATCTCTAATGATGGAAGACGCTAGAGAACACCAGAGTTTCTCAGTACACTCATGAGAATGATACAAGAGAAAGAGGCTGACGATGCAGAGAGAGTGAATAACCAAAGAAGTCGAGACCTTGAGTGTCTAGAGCAGTAGCCCCCAAGTCAGGTATGCAAGGCTTTGTAAGGCCATCTGGAAGAGTGGTGGGGCACAGGGGAGAGGTAGAACTGCTTTATTTTTAATATAAAATGAAAGAACTCAAGCATTATTAAAATATGTATGCATATATATATATACACACACACATATACACACAAATAGGTTTAATATGAATATTATTATAAAACAGACACGAGTACATGAGTACTACCACCAGCACACTACTGGTGGTGTGCTGGAGTCAGTCCACACTGGCTCATGAGAGCCCACTGTGTGCATCTCTTTCCAACTGCACATTCAGTAACACCGTGACGGTGGCTTGAAACTGTCCACAGTGAGAGTATTTACACTGCGGAAATCAAAAAACACTAAAAATCAAGGCTGGTTCTTTCCCCCTACAGGCCACTTGTTAAACACTTTCTAGGATGTCACTGTATGTGCTTATCTACTGATAAGAGTATGTGATCAAAAATATGTGGATAGGAGAGAAGATACTTCTTATATTGGAATAGGCTAGAAGGAAAAAGAAGGTATGAATTCAGATAGGATGATAAATGTAATAATAGTAGGCAGATGAGTACGTTCTAGGGTTTCTTTTGGAGGGGTGGTAGTTAGAGAATGCTCTGACTTTCTCAATGAAGTTAAGGTGAATCACTAGCTAAGAATGTATGCTGGTCATTAGAGCTGTTTGCCAAATAGTTCTGGATTCCTCCTCTGCCACCCAGCTTTTTGGGCCCAGTGTAAAATTACACTTCCTGGTCCCCTCAGGATGGATGAAACATGGGATTACTTCTGTCCAGTGAAAAATGATGGCCATCCCTTCCAGCCTGGAACATGTCATTGTCACTGCAAGACCCTCCAGCATACTCTGCACCCCTCTGCCACAGCAACCAGCTGGTGGCTGCTTGGATCTCTGAGCTACTTTAATGGGTAGTGACTCTGTGCCAACCCACAAATGATACATAAAATGGACAAGAAATATTATTGTGTGGAGCCACTGAGATTTGAGAGTTATCAGTTACTATAGCATAATCTAGCCTGTTCTGAATGAGGCAGAGTGCAGGAGATATTATAGAAGACATGCAGAAAGTGGGAGGAAGTATGCAGAAGAAAAATGAATGAGTCAAGTCTGAATGTGAAAAAATGACTTTACTAGGTAAGTGTGGTAGGACTGCCCTGCTTCTCAAAATGCCTATCTGAGGTGTTGACCATGAATTGAAAGTGACAAAGAGAAGAGTCATGTGGCATACCACTATGGATTGTCATTGAGATTGTCAGGGATCCATTAAGGATTGAGTTTCCATATTTTAGTTATCCCCATTGGAAAACAGAAACAGTGATATCGTACTTTCTATTTACATAGCTTATGAAGAAAGCAATGCAATCCTGTAAGCAGAGACCAAATATTCTGAAGCCATGAGCAGCAACTCTAATTCTATCACTATACTGGTTACTTTCTTAGCAAGTCCCTGAGGCCCCAGTATACTCAAAGCAATGATGAAGAAGTGATGAAGAAGGTAATTTCTTCACACTGTCTTAACACCTCCAGTACTCTCTGAATGGTCCTTAGTATAAAACAATAAAGAAAAGTATGGTAATTCCCAAGAACTCTGTTTCTGAACACACTCCCCTCTGGGACTAAGAAAGGAATACTGAAAATAATGCACTCATATGCACAAACGCCTGCCCACCCCCCATTAAAATTCTGCTGCCCTTATTCAACATACACTGGGTCTCAACACTGCATAAGATATATTTAATATGGGGAAATTATAACCCTATAGACCAGGAAAAACATATAACCACATAAATATCATCTGTAAATACCTTGACATAAAAAACAGCATAAAAAGAAAATAATGGCATGGGAAAATATTCCATTTTTTTCCCACTCAGATCATGTCCCCTTTCTCTCTGACCATATGTGCTTCTATTCCTGCAGTCCTCAAGTGTCCAGCTCTTAAATACTTCCCCCAGGCTCCTCCCCCAACTCCACACCTGGATGGTCCTTCCCATCCCTGGGTCATTTTCTTATAGAAACCTTTCCTGGACATGGATGAAACTGGAAATCATCATTCTCAGTAAACTATCGCAAGAACAAAAAACCAAACACCGCATATTCTCACTCATAGGTGGGAATTGAACAATGAGATCACATGGACACAGGAAGGGGAATATTACACTCTGGGGACTGTTGTGGGGTGGGGGGAGGGGGAGGGATAGCATCAGGAGATATACCTAAAGCTAGATGATGAGTTAGTGGGTGCAGCGCACCAGCATGGCACATGTATACATATGTAACTAACCTGCACAATGTGCACATGTACCCTAAAACTTAAAGTATAATAAAAAAAAAAAGGAAACCTTTCCTGAATCTCCACCCTCAAATAGGTGCCCTCTGTTATCACTCCCCACGCTTTACTTCTCTTTTGTAGCACTTATCTATTTGTAACTATATTTATTTAAACTATTATTAGTTTAATAATCTGTCCTGTAAGATCACAAGCTCCTAAAAGAAGATAGTACTAGTGGCCTGGAGCGGTGGCTTACACCTGTAATCCCAGCACTTTGGGAGGCCGAGGCAGCTGGATCATCTGATGTCAGGAGCTCGAGACCAACCTGGCCAACAAGGTAAAACCCTGTTTCTACTAAAAATACAAAAACTAGCTGGGCGTGGTGGCGGGCATCTGTAATCCCAGCTACTCAGGAGGCTGAAGCAGGAGAATCACCTGAACCCGGGAGGTAGAGGTTACAGTGAGCCGAGATCACACCACTGCACTCCAGCCTGGGTGACAGAGCAAGACTCCATCTCAAAAAAAAAAAAAAAGAAGAAGAAGAAAATAGCATTAGTATCTGTTATAGCCACATCACTTGGTTCCACATAAGTGCTCAAGACTCCTTTCTAAGAATAAAAGCTTTAAAAGACTGAAGCAGATGAGTGGAGATCTTGGCTGGGGCAGGAAAGAAAACTAAATGTAAAGAGGCATGAGAGATCTTTTTGGGGTGCTAAAAATGTTCTAAAACTACTGTGATGATGGTTGTATGCCTCTGGAAATTTACCAAAAATCACTGAATTGTACAATTTCAAAACGTGCATTTTATGGTATGTAAATTATACACATATACAGTTAATCAATAAACTTTTTGAAAAAGAAGATTGATAGATGTGAATATCTGAAAATTTAAATTTTTGTATAAAATAAATCATAAAATTAAAAGGCAAACAAACTGGAAAAAAAAAGTACAACCTATATGGCAGGAATGCAGAAACATTAATGCAGAACCATTAAAAATTTAAATACACACACACACACCCATTCACAAGCAAATTAATAGAGAAGCCTCTTAGCACATAAAAAAATTAACTGCCTGGGCGTGGTGGCTCACACCTGTAATCCCAGCACTTTGGGAGACTCAGGCGGGTGTATTGCTTGAGCTGACGAGCTCGAGACTAGCCTGGGCAACAAGGTGAAATCCCCTCTCTACTAACAATACAAAAAAATTAGCCAGGTGTGGTGGCATGCACCTGTGGTCCCAGCTACTTGGGCAGCTGAGGTGGAAGGATGGCTTGAGCCCAGGAAGTGGAAGCTGAAGTGAGCCTAAGCCTGGGCCACAGAGTGAGACCCCATTTCAAAGATAGATAAATAAATAAATATTAACTGTATCAAAGTTGGAAAATATATAATTTGTATTATACTTAAATTAGTTACTGTCTATCAAATTTGCATTAAAACATTTTATAATAGTAATACATATTGTTGATAATGGCAAAATTCAATATTCTGATAGCGTGCAATTAGGAATGCAAATTATTACAATGTTGCTTAAGGCCAATTGGACAAGATCTATCAGAACCTAAATATGCCCATATCTTTTCATGCAGTTATTCTACTTTTAGGAATTTGTCATAAGGAAGTTATTAAACACACCAAGATTATAAGAATATTCATCATACTGCTATTGATAATAATTAAAAACTGAAAACCACCAAAATGCCCAAGAAGGGTTTAGAAGGGAAAATGGTACAACCACGTGATGGAATATTAAAGTAACAAACTTAACTGTTTGGAAGTCAGTAGGAAACTATACTCATAGAAGAAATTAGTAACAAGATAGACAAGAGATCTCAGTTTCATTAAAAGAAAAACAGTACATATGTAAAAGCTCACAGAAAAAAAAAAAAAAATTGGATAAAAAGATAGCCAAAAGTTTATGGTGGTTATCCCTGAGTAATGTACTTGAGCATCATTTTGATTTTCTTCTTTAGACATCTATATTATTTTCAAATTTCCCAATATAAATGTAAAATATTTTTAATCAGAAAAATCAGAGTGAAGATGCTGCACTAAAAAAATTCTTAATTTTCATGACATTTCTTATATTTGCCAAGAGATTCTTTCTGATGGCTCTAAATGGTCAAAAATCTTCAAGAGAACTTCTGGTACTATTTAAATCTGTTGTTCAAGACTGAGGAATTTTCAGTCTACCACAGTGAAAACAAATAATAATAACTGGCTAATTTTGTCACTATCTCAAAGAAAATGTAAGAGAAAAAAATCTCAACCTAAATGCCCTCTTTTATTGTTTATAGAGTAATTAAATTAGTGCCTGACACATAAACGTACTATGAAGCATTTGTTCAATTTTTCTTTAAAAAAAAAAAAAAAGAACAAGTAACTTTGGAGAAGAAGTGAACATTAAGTAATTTAATATTAATTCATTCTGTCAAACAAATAAGTTCACTTTCCATTTTGGACAGGTACATGTAGAACATCAGATATCACACAATAATTTGGAACAGCTGTTGGCAGATTTTCAAATATGTTAGGCTTTTTTTCATTTAATCCCATTAGAGTTTTTTCCAATGAGTATGCAGTCATGAAATTTATATTAGCAGTTGTCTGGTCACATACTGTATTTCTTGAGATTCACAAATGATCCTGTGGCATAAATGATGATTATATAGTTTAATAAGTATTTGGAAAGGTATTTTAGATATAAAATGCCAGCATGCCAGGCCTTTGTCAATGGCTGAAAGATGTGGAAAGCTAAGCTCTCTGGAGATCAGGCTTCATTTTCTGTCTATTTTAAGCCATTATATAAAAATTCTACCTTTTCCTCCCATATCAAGAGATGCTTCTGAAAGATTTCATCACACAGGGAAGTCAGATATGGTTTTTAAACAAGTAAGATACCAGTTTACCAGAGGCTCACTTAAATGAAGCCCAGTGGAACTCAACCTTGGGTAGAGAGAAAAAAAAAATTTAAATATTCAAGTAACTTGGGAAATACCCTTCACTTAGAAGTACTAGAATATTCTGATTTTAGAGGACTGTATTTCTAATCTAGCTGTTAATAGATTTTGCTCCTAACACTTTCTATTTTGCACTCAGCAATTTGCACCCTATCACTCATTTTCTATATAATTTTTGTTGTAAAATGCTTGCGACTTGGCAGCCATCCGATGACTAACGGGCTAAACACTCGTCTGACCCAGACTCTGCCTGCATGATGCAAACTAGAGCTCCAGAAGGGATACACTTCTGGAGTCACTGTTCAGACTCTGCCACAGCTATCACAAGACTTGAGGTAACATGTGCTTTGCTACAAAATGACACAGAGATCCTCGTTCATTCATTCATTCATTCATTCAATACTTCATTTCATTTTGTTTATTTAACATTTCTCAAATACTTCCTATGTACCAGGCACTGTATAAAGTGCCAGACATACAAGGATTAAAAGAAGATAGGTCCTATTTGACAGCATCTCATAATTTAACAGTATAAACCAAAATGGAAACCAAAAGAGAAGAATGTCCTACAATAGAAGTGTGAGTATACTGCTGTGGGAGCAGGGAATAATTGGGAAGGAAAAGCTGGAAAACCCTTAGGTACTGAATACATATGTATTGAGCACATACTATTTGCAAAGCACTTGGGTGCTGAGAATATGGAAGAGAGCGAAACGTCTATTTTCTCTCTAGAAGCTCATGTCCTAGCAAGGTGAGCCAGACAATAAGCATATAAATAAGTAAAATATACGGTATTTTAGATGATGATAAGTCTACGGGGAAAAATAAAGCCGAGAAAGTAGGATAGGGAGTGCTGGGGTAAGTATGCCTACTTTCCACAGGGTGGTAAGGGAAGGCCTCTAGATACAGTGACATCAGAGCAGAAGAAAGCAAGAAACAAGGATACAATATCTGCAGATGCCTGGGGGGATGAGAGAGTTCCAGGTTGAGGGAACATTCAGTGCAAAGGCCTTGGGGCAGGAGTGAGCTTGGTTTATTCCAGGAAGAGTAAAGTGCCAGAATAGGAAGAAAAGTGTGAGGGGGGGTGGGGAGTGGGCAGGGGCAGGAAATGAGGTGAGGGAAGCAGTTAGGAACCCAAGCATGTAGAGCTTTGTGGGTGCATGTCAGGTCCTAGGCTGATGGGAAGCTATTCAAGGGCTTTGAGCAAGAAAGTGTAATGAGCTGATTTATGTTTTCAAAGATCATTCCGGATGCTGTGTTAAACTAGACCAGGGGAAGGAGGCAGAACCAGTCAGGAGGCTGTTGCAACAGAGATGATGGCAGTTTTGGCCACGGTGTAAGAAGCAGAGGTGGTGAGAAGCAGTCAGATTTTTCATACATTTTAGAACAGAAGGGATTTTCTGAAGCCTTCACAGAACATGTAGTGTTTAAGTAAAGTCTTTAAGAGTAGATGCTCACCAGACAGAAAAGGGAAGAGAGTACTAGTGGGCACAAAGGCAAGGAAGGATAAGAGGGCACAGCAGAGTCAGGGTGGAACCAAGAACTCCCTATGACGAGAGTTTATGATTGGGCGCCATTTTAGGCCATGGGATGAGATTACACCAGAGAGGTAGTTTAGGGTCAGAAAGTCAATGGCAGCTGGGTGCAGTGGCTCACACCTGTAATCCCAGCACTTTGGGAGGCCGAGGCAGGCGGATCACTTGAGGTCAGGAGTTTGAGACCAGCCTGGCCAACAAGGCGAAACCCTGTTTCTACTAAAAATACAAAAATTGGCCAGGCATGGTGACGCGCGCCTGTAGTCCCAGCTATTCGGGAGGCTGAGGCAGGAGAATCGCTTGAACCTGGGAAGCGGAGGTTACAGTGAGCCAAGACCGCACCACTACATTCCAGTCTGGGTGACAGAGCGGGACTCTGTCTCAAAAAAAAAAAAAAAAAAAAAAAAAAAAAACAAGAAAGTCAATGGCCTTATAGGGTGGATATGCTGAGGAATTTGAACTTGATCTTGGAAGCAAAGGCGACTCAACAAAATTTATAAAACAAGGAGGTACAAGTCAGTTCTGATGGCACTGGGGAGGGCATGAGGAACGCTAATCAGGAGGATGCTAAAACTGCGGAGGCAGAAAGTGATCAATGTGGCCTACATAGTTGAGGCAGTGTCTGTGGGATGGAAAAAGAAAAAACAATTTGAGAGATTCTAAAGAGGTAAAACCACCAGGGACCCAGTGACTAAATGAGGGAAGAAAGCAATGGATAGAAGTTGAGGGTGGTGAGCTTTCTAATCTCAAGAATGGGACTAGGGGATACCGTTAGAGAAGAGGCTGAATGGGAAGAGCCTTGTAGAAAGAATCCTTATTAAAATGTAAGTGACATCCTGTCACGCTTTGCTCCAAGCCTTCTCATGCCTCCTCATCTCAGAGTAACCGCCAATGCTCTTCTTACAGAACTTACAGACTATAAGTTCTCGTATAACCGGGCCTCTCTCTCTCTCTCTCTCTCTCTCTGACCGTCTCCCCTGCTCTCACCAGCTGTCTCCCTCTGCTCCAGGTATGTTGGCCTCGGGTGCTTTTCCTGTCAAGTATACCTGAGGCTTTGCTGTTCTGTAGGCCCAGAACATTCTTCCAACAAGTATCTACATGGCTTGCTCCTACATCACCTGCCCCACAAGAAATAAGCTCAAAGAAGACACGAATCTCTTGTCAGTTTTCACAACTTCATTTCTAATGCCTAAAACAGTACCTGGCACAGAGTCGGGGAGTGAAATCCATTTGTTTAATGGAGTAAGTAACTTAATGAATATGAATCATGTTGAGTTAGATGTAGCTGGAAGACTTTCAGGTAGAGCCACTCCGTAGGCAGTTGGAAGTGGAGAGCTGGAGGTCACAGGGAGAGCTGGGATGGGGACAGAGGTCTGGAACCTTTGAGACAAGAGCAGAGTTATCTCAGAAGGATGAAGAGACACAAGGGAAGAGAGAAGCAGTATAGGACTTAAGAGTGGAGACCCAAAAGCCAACAGCCCAGACTTAAATCCTAGTCCCAACATATCCTGCACATAAGTCTTAAACAAATTTTTGAACCTCTCTGTCCCTCGGTTTCCTCATCTCTAAAATAGGGTTTTAGTAACACCTGTCTCAGAAGCATATAGCAAGATTTCAGTGAGCTCACACGTGTAATGCACTTAAAGTAGCAGCAGAACAACCTGGCACACAGCTAGCACACAATCAGTGACAGCAAGGGGGTTACTGAGGATGGTCTCATTTTCTTTGGATAAAAGGGGCTGCATTCATATTTCTGGAAGTCAGAGTTTGTTTTCTGACTATGTAATTCCTCGTTTCCTTGTGTTCCATGATGAGCTAACAGAAGTTCTCTCTGCTTTTCTGCTTTGACCCTTGGTGGTTTGGTTTTGCTTTTCTCTACGGTCCTATTAAAAGAAACTGCAAAACTTCTCTGAAGGTGTTTTGAATTGGAGCATGGTAGACCAAGAGGTGGACAATACAGCAGAAAGAGCATGGGCCTTCAGAGTCAGACAAATATGGGCTGAACTCCAGCTCTCCCACTCAGATAACTAACTTAGTCTCTCCTGATTTCCTCCTTTTTTAATCTTGTTATGAGAGGCAGGCTGAACTCCAATTCCTGGGCTCAAATGATCCTCCCACCTCAGCCTCCCAAGTAGGTGGAACTTACAGTTGTGCCTGGTTCCTCTCTTGATTTCTAAAACAGAAATACCTACCTCAAGTACCTCAAGCCTGAAGAAAAGTAGTTGCTGAATACAATGAATGAGGCTGTTGTGGGGATTGCATGTGAGAGCATGCATAAAACATGTAGCACAAAGCCTAGCACACTGTAAGGATCAATCGACAGACCCAAAATGGAAGCTGAACAGACTCCTGTGTTTATGACTGGCAGCTGGATTGGCATTCCTGTGGTGAGGGCCTGTTTAAGGGACCCAGTGTCAGGTCTGAACTTTCTATTTACTCATGTCATTAAAAAGTATTTTCACTTCATCTTTTAAGAGAAGAGGTTTACTTTTACTAAGGTTTTATTGAAGTACTAAGCCTTCCTAGAAGGTGTACTTTGGCCAGGCGCAGTGGCTCACACCTCTAATCCCAGCACTTTGGGAGGCCGAGGCAGGTGGATAATGTGAGGTCAGGAGTTTGAGACCAGCCTGGCCAACATGGTGAAACCCCATCTCTACTAAACTTACAAAAATTAGGCAGGCATGGTGGCAGGTGCCTGTAATCCCAGCTACTCAGGAGGCTGAGGCAGGAGAATCGCTTGAATCTGGGAGGCAGAGGTTGCAGTGAGCTGATATTGCACCACTGCACTCCAGCCTGGGCAACAGAGTGAGATGCTGTCTCAAAAAAAAAAAAAGAAAAGAAAAACAGCAAGGTGCACTTAGAGTGATTAGATATTAGTATCAGGGTTTGTTGCGGGCCTTGGAAAGATAACAGAGAAGTCTTGATAGTTGTTCTGTTTGCATTTGGGTTTCCTTTTATCCCTCAGTGGATGGCTGGTTCAGAGCACAGTGGGCTGATAACCTTTTGTATCTCATTCTTCCTGTACCATTTTCACACGACAAAAGCTGAAATGGCTTGGCAGTTGCTTTGTGACAATGCATGTAATCATGCACCAGAAGGCTTATAGCTATGAAAATTTAGTAAGCATTTCAGAACTAATTGCATTTTTGTGGGTTTACCTGTCTTAAGGGTACTTTTAAAAATTATTTTTTCCCTGATTGCAAAAGAATATACCTTCACTGCAGATAATCTGGAAAACTGGGAAAGTTCAAAAGAGAACACCCACCCTATCACTATGCAGTATGACATTTCTGTACACATCTGTCAAATCTTTCCAGATGCCAAATCCCTGGGGAAGTGTGTACGTGTGTAGAAGCAAAATTCAAATCATACTAAACTCATTATTATTATATATAACTGGTTTTCCAAATTAACTATTGGGTGCATGCATTGAAGCAAACTCATTCAGCACCTGATAGGTACCCGGCACTGAACGAAGTACAGAGGATAAGGGAAGCCAGCACACACAAAAATTCATTACAATTAAGTGAGATTAATGCCAGATGTGATGGCTCATGCCTGTAATCCTAGCACTTTGGGACGCCAAATCACTTGAGGTCAGGAGTTCGAGACCAGCCTGGCCAACATGGTGAAACCATGTCTCTACTAAAAATATAAAAATTAGCCAGATGCACTTGCTTGAACCCAGGAGGCAGAGGGTGCAGTGAGCTCAGATCGCGCCACTGCACTCCAGCCTGCACACAACACAGCTAGACTCTATCTCAAAAAAAAAAAAAAATTAAGTGAGATTAAGTGCTGATAAAGGTATAGATAAAGTATGAGAGGAAGCAGAGACAACTCTCTGGTTGTAGAGGTGTCAGGGAAGCTTCCTACAGGAGATGACATATGAGCTGTTACTAACAGGTAACACAGAAGTTCACCAAGGAAACAAGAGACAGGCTGGGCATGGTGGGTCATGCCTGTAACCCCAGCACTTTGTGAGCCCAAGGTGTGTGGATCGCTTGAGCTCAGGAGTTCAAGACCAGTCTGGGCAGCATGGTGAAACCCTGTCTCTACAAAAATACAAAAAATTAGCCAGGCGTGGTGGCACATGCCAGTGGTCTCAGCTACTTGGGAGGCTGAGGTGGGAGAATCGCATGGGCCCAGGGGGCAGAGGTTGCAGTGAATCCAGATTACACCACTGCATTCCAGTCTGGGTGACAGAGTGAGATCCTCTGTCAAAAAATAAAAAAAAAGAAGAGACAGATAAAGAGAAGGAGGTACGTCAGCAGAGGACGTAGCAAGAAGGCCCCAAAGATGAAACTCATAGCAAATTTAAAGTACTGCAAAAATCCAGTGTGGATAAAAGGTGTAAGAGCAGGGGAGATGAGGCTGAAAATGTAGGAGCCAGTCAATGATGTGGGATTTGAAGCAGAGGGTTGCCATGCTCAGATTTACATCTTGGTTAGAAAATACTATAGCTTCAAGGATGAAGGGGGGCAAAGAGGAAAACTAGACAGACCTATAAGAGGACTGACAGTGAAGAGGAAAGATGGTGCAGATCAAATGGGAATGGAGATAAGAGACAGTGGCCTAGAAATAATATTGAGCTAGAAGTCACAGAAATCATATTGACCTGGATTCTAGATGGGTAAAGTCCTTCCTTCCTCTCTTCCTTCCTTGGTTACTGATGGTCAGCTATGTACATGCAGGTGCTAGAGATACAAAGATGCTGTGACCTAATTCCTATTCTGATTTTCACGGCAACCCTCTGCTTCAAGACTTCACATTGTAGTAGGAAAAAAGAGGTGAAAATTTATTATTTTTACATGCCCAGAGGGCCTACTCTTCCTTCTTTGGAAACAGGACTCTGATTTTCCTTTGGGAGAGCCACCCATGTCTAACTCACATAGTGCATACAGTTTGGTGGGAGTACTCTCACTCCAACCCCACTCCAAGAGTAGGTGCATGAACTAGGCTGGGCAAACAGGAGCATTTGACTCTCCTGAACATGATGACTAGTTCAGTAATAAGCACATGACTCCAACCAGGCCAACAGGATTACTTCCTGGATAATTTGATGGAACCAGGGAAAAAGAACTCACTAACTTTTTCTAAGATCCCAGATGCCAAAGGCCACATACCCCTTGGGCTGTCAGAGTCCTGCTATGCTCTCAGATGAGAGCCTATTGAGCATGAGATCACACTGAGGAAAGCTAAGCCAAGAAAAATAGGAAAAAACAGTGATCGGGTGACATCTTTTGTAAAGTTGGATTTAGCCATGTACTCCTAGACTTCTAAGGCAAGTCAATAAATTCCCCTTATTTTTTGCCACTGTGAGTTTGATTTGGGTTTTTGTCATTTGTAATTGAAACAGTGGTGTCTAATTCAGAGACAGAGACACGGAATTCTGTAATTGCAATACCATGTGCTAGGTGGTATAGAGTTATTTACCGGGAGTGCAATCAACTTGACTTGTAGGTAGGGTAAGCTGGGAAAATGTTCACAAAGGAGGTGATGTTTAACTGAACTCTTGAAGAATTAGCCATCTGCAACAGGATAAGGAGCAAAAGGAAGGAGGAGGAGCTAGGCAGAAGAAACAGCATGAGCAGAGGCAAGGAAGTGTGGAATGTCCGAGGAAATAAAAACAGTCACTATGCTAAAGCATTAAATTCACAGCAAAAAGCCGATTCTGAAGAAATGTACATGCTCTGTAGGCCATGAGAAGTCATGGGTGATCTAATTTGACCTTTTCACCTGTCATTTAACCTCTCTAGCCCAGCTTCCTCATAGGTAAAATAAGGTTGATCAGAACACATCACTGAAACTGATAAAAATATTAAAATACCTTACCTGCTGATAGAATTCATCATCTTTGGGGGTCAGATAAGGGAGCCAAGTGTCTTCAAGCTCTTCAAGAAGCCTCAGTTTCTGTTTGAAAATAATAATTACATATAAGTGAATATGCAATAACCCAAAGTAAGACACTCTCTTATTTTTCCAATAAGAGAATACAAACAAATTTTAGCCAACTTTGAATTTATAATCTTTTAGAGATAGAAATTAGTCAAATCTCAATTATAAAATATATTAATTAAATTACATACATCTTTTTTTTTCTTTTCTTTTAGAGACAGAGTCTCGCTCTGTCACCTTGGCTGGAATACAGTGGTGTGATCACAACTCACTATAACATCAAACTCCTGGGCTCAAGTGATCCTCCCATCTCATCCTCCCAAGTAGCTGGGACTACAGCGGTGCCACCATGCTTGGATAATTGTCTTTATTTTTAGTAGGGACAAGGTCTCGCTATGTTGCCCAGGCTGGTCTCAAACTTCTGGCCTCAAGCAATCCTCCCACCTTGGCCTCCTACAGTGCTGGGATTACAGGCATGAGTCATGGCACCCAGTCAATTACATATATACTAAATTACACACGGTATGAAGCATAAATTTAGAAATAATTTTATTCACTCTCACATTTCATGAGACAATTTGATTCACTCTTCACATGTATTGTTGACAACCGGGTCTTTTTCATCACTAGAGTCAGCTTACAACTCATCCAACACAGTTTTCCAGAGCAAACGCCTGTCTGTATAATCTGCTTGAGACATAGTAGCTTGTAAATCCTTTTATGGTACTATCACTGGAAATACCAAACCAAGCCACAAGTATCCATTTGCATAATGTCAGCATATGTGGAAGAGTTATTCATCTTGTAAACATTTATTTGAGATCATATCCACTTACGGTATTGCTTTTTTAGAGTGATCTATCATCTCTACAATAATTAATAAATCTGTGTTAAACATCTTTGTTTCTTCTCTTTTCCAATTCCATGAAGCAGCCTTTTTAAGCACTCAAAGCCAGCATTGTCTGAGGCTGTTTCAAGAGACTATGTTTTCCCCAAACAGTACTGTGCTATTCAAACAAAGTAACTGAAAGACGATCTCATATTATAAAGTATCTTATAAGAAATCAGATACATATAGGGCACCTCCGTCCTTCTGAGGGATATTTTTCAAAGAATATCTGACCTTACATTCAAGAATATATGGAGTTTTCGTGTGTACGTGGCATATAAAAGGCATAAATGTGCATATACACTCACAGACACATATACACATAGACAGGTACATACAACAGACATTATCTGTAAGAAAGAAAGCAAAAACAGCAGAAACAACTGGGTTTCAAATAAAAATGCAATTAAATGCATCACCAAAGCTACTGTCAGCCAGTAAGTCACATTTATAAAAATTAGATAACGGTACACTTTGCTCTGGGCCGATATAGTCCCACTCAATAAGAATATAGCTTGGTAAACACAAACTGGATTTCAGGCTCCACCTGCTCCAATGCCCAATGTCTTTATAAAGTGCACAACCTACTTAACCAGATGTGGCAGCCCTGCATACTACCCTCTCCCACCCCAAATAGCAGCCTTCTCTCACAAACCCATCACAATCAGAGTAGTCAGAGGAAACTTCCTTTTGGGTAAAACACAAATTCTTTCTGGACCTTTTTTGTATCATTACCTAAAAGTGAGGAAAGAGAAAGGGAATAGAAGTATAGCAACCAATTGACCCTGAGAGACACAAAACCAAATTCTACTCTTAGGCATAATTCTATTATATTTATTTAGTCAAAGCCTTTGTTTTGACTATAGGTGTTTTCTCATTTACAACGAAAAGGTTGACTTACCAGTTAAACAAAGAAATTTTTTTTTTTTTTGGAGACAGGGTTTCATTCTGTCCCACAGGCTGAAGTGTAGTGGCCCAATCACAGCTCACTGCAGCCTTGACTTCCTGGGCTCAGATGATTCTCCCAACTCAGCCTCGCAAGTAGCTGGGACTAAAGGTGCAATGCCACCATGCCTGGCTAGTTTTGTTTTACTTTTTTTGTAGAGATGAGGCCTCAGTATGTTCCCCAGGCTGGTCTCAAACCCCTGGGCTCAAATGATCTGCCCGCCTTGGCCTCAAATGATCTGCCCGCCTTGGCCTCCCAAAGTGCTGGGATTACAGAAGTGAGCTACCATACCTGGCCTAAATTATGATACTTTTATAGTTATAATACTAATGTAACACACACCATTACAGATAATCGACAAACCAGTTTGGATAATTCACTATTGGTTAATTGATTTATCTATTTTTCAGTATTAACTATTATTTGGGCCATAGAAAGAACCAATGATATTTCCATGCCATACTTGTACATTTCTCCACTCCATCATAAATTTAATCAAAATCTATACCTCAATTTTTACTTCAAGCTCAGAAAAGCCTCCATTTTCCTATGAATATTTTATCAATTCTTAGTCTTTTTTATAGACACAAAGTGCCAGAATATTTATAAATGCCAAAAAAGGTAAGCCTTGAATAATTCAAACACACATTTCTCAAACCTTGAAATGTCTCCACCTTGCAAACACCACCTTAAGATCTCTTCATGAGAGTCCATCAGTAAAGCTAATCTACATATAAAGAGGAGCACAAAAGCATGGATTCCCAAAAGTAATTACATACTCCACCTAAATCAGATGAAACAGCAACAGACCTGTCCCATAGGTCGACAAGTGCCAATGTAGGCTGAACCTCTGCTTATAATTAATGCTTCAGCTAAATTCTTGTAACAACCACCACTTCTCAGTTCATTTCGGAACTGAGCATCAGACAGGTATAAAACATTGTAACTTATAAGGCTGTATCAAAAGGATAAAATTTGACAAGATTTTTCCTACTCTAGAGCAAGCAGCATATAATTGATCTTCCACTAGGAATTTTCATTTTAATCCTGTGAGTACTGTTGTATCTACATGACAGCAGAGAATGGGGACCAGAAAATCATCCAGCTTAAGACCCTACAGATAAAAATCTGCTCTGAACACCAACACTCAGTACTTGCAATTTTACGAAGTAACTGACAAGATCAAGTATTAAATAACAATATTTACAAACATAAAGAGAAGTTTTGGTCATGCTTACATCGGTGAAATCAATCAGATATCAATAGTAAATTGGTAGCTCATAAACATCAAAATTAAAAATTCTTAACTGCTTTATAAAAAAACAAATATTAAGATTGCTTTATGAAAAGCGAGGTCACTATGGGCAAGACTAAGAGAAACAGGCCCTTTCATTCTCTGCTGTCAGGAGGGCAAAACAAAACCATACTTAGAGAGGGTAACCAGTCAACTCCTTTCAAAATTCAAATGCATTTCCCATGTGAGCCAGTGATCCTACTTCTGATTTATCCTTCTAATACACTTGTACCATGTTCAGAAGAATATATGCATGAGGATACTCATTACATCATTACTTGTAGAAAAAAAGCTTGGAATCACACTAAAAACCACTGAACTGTACACTTTAAAATGGTGAATTTTATGATATGGAAATTATTATCTCAATAAAACAATAAGATTAGAAACAATGCAAATCTCCAGCCACAGGGGACAGTGGAATAAACTACAGGACATCCACATGATGAAGTATAAAGCAACAGTAAACAAAAACAAGGACGCTCTCTGTTTATGAACTAAAAAGCTCTCCAGAAGATATTGGGAAGTAAAAAGCAAGGCACAAAACTCTGCTTGTATTTGCATACAGAAACACAAAGGATAAATGACAGACTATTAAAGTGATTATCTGTCAATAGAGGTGGGAAATGACTAGAAAGGAGCAAGGCAGAGCCAAGACTACTCAAAATATTCCATTTTATATTGTTTTGATTTTTGCACTATGTAAACGTCTTACCTATTACCAATTCAAACATCTAACCTACTAATTCCTCACATGAAATTCAGTATAAAGATGAAGACAACATGATTTTTGGCATTGTTTTAGAAAGTGCCTTCTTTTGTCCATGTACAATGAAGTATTTATTTGGAAAACTATTGCAGACTAGCACACTAAAGAGGAGAGGAAAAAAACAGCTCTGACAATTTTCTTTGTGTCAAATGCCAACCACAGTAAAAACACACAACATTAAAATGCGCTCTGGAGCACAGGTAGAAGGAGCTCACGTTTGACTGTCAGATCTGGCTAACTGCTGCTCCTCAGCCTGATGTACAGATAAATCCACACAGCTGGGCCCTGCAGCACACTGCTCTGCTCACACACTTCTTTGCTGTCACACTTGTGTCAAATACATCAAGCTGCTCACAAATGCCACACGGAGAGCCAGAGAGAGCGTGAAGCCTCAGCTCTCCTACCTGGCAGGAGGGGCAGATGAAGACCCCTGCACACAGGCTACCACCCATTTCCACAGCTCTAGCAAAGTAAAAGAGGACAAAAGACCTATGTGAAACACACCACAGCCAGTTGCAGTGGCTCACACCTGTAATCCCAGCACTTTGGGAGGTGGAGGCAGGACGATCACCTGAGCTCAGGAGTTCGAGACCAGCTTGGGGAAAATGGTAAAAACCCGTCTCTACGAAAAAATACAAAAACTAGCCAGGCGTGGTGGTGTGCACTTGCAGTCCCAGCAACTCAGGAGGCTGAGGTAGGAGGATCCACTTGAGCCTGGGAGGCAGAGGTTGCAGTGAGCCGAGATCACGCCACTGCACTCCAGCCTGTGTGACAGAATAAGACTCTCTGTCTCAAAAAAAAAAAAAAAAAAAACCACAACTCAAACTCATAAGGGTTTAAAGTTAGATATCAGAAACTACACCAGCCCTAAGCCTCTGCTTTACTGTGAAAAAGTTAAGCTGTATCTGAGCTTGTATATCTTGTCACATAGAGATATGGTTTGAGAGTCTTACAGTAATTACATAAAAAGATTAAGTGGATTATGACTCATCATGTAAGGGTGTATCTCACCTACAAATGAAGTGTATTTTTCATCCCACTCCTGACTCTTCAGCCGTGTCAAGATTATGCTGCTAATGACACTTATTCTTTATCCATTTATCATTTTCCACATAATACTTCTTCAACTATGCATCCTATTGTGTCAGGTTCAGTAAAAATTTAATTTTGTTACCTGAGTCTTTTCAAAATACAGTGATGAATAATGGCTAATGAATGTTCATTGTGAAAATAACTGCATGATCTTATGAGGGTTTTAAGTGGGAAAATGACCTAGTCCTTAAGCAGGGTGCTTGGTGGGCAAGGAAGACATATCTAAACTAACACTAGAAAGATCATTAAGAGCCAGGCGCGGTGGCTCACACCTGTAAGCCCAGCACTATGGGAGGCCAAGGAAGACGGATCACTTGAGGCCAGGAGTTCAAGACCAGCCTGGCCATCAAAGGGAACCCCGTCTCTACCAAAAATACAAAAATTAGCCGGCCATGGTGGCGCACACCTGTAATTCCAGCTTCTAGGGTGGCTGAGGCAAGAGAATCGCTTGAACCTGGCAGATGGAGGTTGCAGTGAGTCACCGCTGCATGGTGACACAGCATGGTTCTTTCTCAAAAAAAAAAAAAAAAAAGATCAATAAGAAGTAGCTAAACCAAAAAAGTGTAAATATTTCACATATACCATATTTGCTTTAGATAAGAAGAAAAAAAGTATTTCAACCATTTCAACAAATTTAGCATTCCTTGTCCTACGAAAAACTTCCCTCTCCATGAAAATATGGCACAGTAAAAGTAAACTGGATTTGGAGGCGAAAGTAGAATTTTGAATGGAGACTCTTTCACTTCCTCGATGCGGTACCACATCGGAAGCAAACTCGCTCATTCTCAATTTCCTCATCTGTAAGGACACTGTTTCATAGAGTTGTGATGATAAAATAAAATTATTCATACATATTAGTGCCTTTTGCAAACTATAAACTATGCAGATATTAGGCAAATAGCATTCAAACAGTGAGGCAGGGGTCTGTATAACAAAGCAAACTCCTTTGTTATGTGTGTATAGCCTAAGGAGCCAAACTCTTGAATTCCAATGCCAGTTCTACCAGTCTAGGTGCATGATTTGCAACTAGTTTCTTATCTCCCTGTGAGATGTAAATGATATTAATACATAAAGCTCTAAGAACAGTGTCTGGCACATAAACAGCCCCTCAATACATTTTGGCAACCATTCGTTGTTGTTATTTACTCATGTCTGGAAAGGACAGTTTTATTTCCTAGTTATAAATTACTTATACAGGAATCTATGTGTACCACATCAAATTATACTTTAGGCCACAGATTAATGCCACTGGATTAATAAGAATCCAGATATTAATTAGCCTCAGTGATCTACAGGAGAAATGTATAAAAACTTCCCATAAAAGTTTACATATATAAAATGTGTCAATTAACTATGTTGTGGTGATCACCTACTTTTTAATATGACAAAATTGCATAATTTTAGAACATATAAAGAAACTAAGGCCCATCCAGAGCTATGAAGTGACTGGCAAGAGACTATACTGCTGCTTATGAAAGAATCACAACTCACATTCTTAGTTCCCAGGTACAAGGCCACACCCACTACACCACACCATCCCTGAGGCAAGAGAAATCATCTCTCTTAAGAATTGTTTAATTTTTAACTGAAAAACAACATACACAACATTTTTTTAAAAGTTTTTAATTAAAATCAATCCTACTTATAAATTTTTAAAACCAATACTTACAGCCACTGCTCTTGGACCCTCAAGTCCTGGCTGCTTTGGTAGCTCCACAAGGCTTTCAAAAGAGATCTTTTTAATTAATACTTAGCAAGTCTTGTTCTGTTTCCAATAATGGGAGCCAACACTACAACATACAAAAAAATCTAGCCTGGATAGAAAATGTCATAATTTAGAAAACATCAGGAAGAACACTCAGAAGGACTTCACCTCAGCAGTGGTGCGATAGCCCTAGACTCAATGTCACACTGTTCCTTTCTAATTAAATGCAACACCTGAAAAGATTCAACTGTTTCCAAGTAACATAAATGAGTTACTTAAAGGAACAGCAAGCACAAAATCCAGCACTTAAATGTTAAAAATTTACAATGTTTGTCATCCAATCAAAAGCAACAAGGCATGGAAGTTTCTAAGAGAATACTACAAGGCAAGACAATATGACTGATAATGAAGAGAAAAATCAACTAATTGAAACTGGTGCAAAAACAGAACAGATGATGAAATGAGTAGACAAGTACACTGAAACAGTAAGTATAGCTATAGTTCACAAGTTCAAAAAGTTGAGAAAAGATTGAGCATGGTAAGTAGAGAAACAGAAATAACGTTAAATCAAGCTTCTAGAGTAAATCCACAATATCTGAGAGGCAAGATACACTGGATAATAATAATTCAACACAAATTAGTTATAATAGAAGAAAAGAATAATGAACCTGAAGACACAGCAAGGCAAATTATCCAAAATGAAATACAGAGAGGAAAAAGACAGGAGAAAAAGGTTAACAGAGCATCAGTGAGCTATGGGATGATTTTAAGCAGATTAATACATGTAATTGGAGTTACCAAAGGAAAGGAGAGAGATTGGAAGACAGAAAAAGAAGTGGCCAAATATTTTCCAAATTTGATGAAAACCATCAATCCACAGATTTAAGATGTTCAAAGGACTTCAATCACAAAAATCAAGAGGAAATAACACTAAAACGCAACATAATCGAATTACTTAAATCCAGTGAAAAAGATAAAGTCTTAAAAGCAGTCAGACAAAAGAAAATACAGTTGGCCCTCCATATATATGGGTTTCCCATTTATGGATTCAAACAATGTCAGATAAAAAATATTGCTGAAAAAAAAAATGGATGGTTGCAGCTATACCAAACATGTGCAGACTTTTTTCTTATCATTATTCCCTAAACAATGAAATATAACAACTATTTATATAGCATTTATATTGTATTAGGTACTATAAGTAATCTAAAGATGATTTAAAGTACATAGGAAGATGTGCATAGGTTATATGCAAATGCGACATGCCATTTTATATAAGTGACTTGAGAATCCATGAATTTTTATATTTGCAGGGGTCCTGGAACCAATCCCCCACAGATAGCAAGAGATGAAGGTACTATGTACCCAAAAAAACTATAAAAATAAAACCAAATAAGACTGCGTGTGGTGGCTCACACCTGTAATCCCAGCACTTTGGGAGGCCGAGGTGGGCGGGTGGATAACTTGAGGCCAGGAGTTCAAGACCAGCCTGGCCAACATGGCGAAACCTCGTCTATACTAAAAATACAAAAATTAGCTGGGTGTGGTGGCGCACACCTGTAATCCCAGCTACTGGGGAGGCTGAGGCACAATAATCACTTGAACCTGGGAGGTGGAGGTTGCAGTGAGCCGAGTTCACACCACTGCACTCCAGCCTGGGTGACTGAGTCAGACTCTGTTTCAAAAAAAGAAAAAAAAGAATAACACCAAATAGCTCATTGTAAAAAAAAAAAAAATGGTTGCCGGAAGACAGAAGACAGTGGGGAAATGCTATAATGTATTTCAACAATAAAGGAGAAATAAATATTTTTTCAGACACACAAAAGCAGAAAGAATTCAACACCAGCAGATCTTCAAGATAAGAACTGATAATGGAAGATCTTCAGGTGGAAAGAAAAGGACAATAGATAAAAATCTGAATACTTAAGAGAATGAAGAGTATCAGAAATGGTAACTATATGGGAAATATAAAAGACTTCTCACTAAGTCTTTATAAAAGATAATTGACTAAAGCAAAAACAAGAGTAGTACATTCTGGGATTCATAACATATGTAGAAATAAAATGTATGATAGCAACATCACAATGGCCAAAGAGATATGAAAAGTATATTGTGGTAAAAATTTTTATGCTACATGTGAAGCACAGTAATACTTCAAGAAAGATTCCGATACGATAAAGATGGATACCAGAAACCCTAAAACCAACATAAAAAAAAAACCAAAAAATTACAAGTAATAAGCCAACAAAAGAGATAAAATGGAATTATAAAAAAATCCAAAAAAGGCAGAAATCAAGAAAAAAAGGGATCAAAGAATAGACAAAAGTGGTAGAATTAAATCCAACCATAGAAACAATCACAATAACTGTAAATGATCTAAATAACCCAATTAAAGGGGAGAAACTGTCAAATTGGATTTTTTTAAAAGCAGTATGCAACCATAGGTTGCCTATAAAAAATATTCTTCAAATGTAAAGAAACAAATTGATTTAAAGTAAAAGGATGGACAAGACATTGTGAAATTGTATTTAATGCCACATAAGTGTATACTTTAAAATGGTTAAAATGATAAATTATATGTTATGTACATTCTACTGCAATAAAAAAAGATTTGTAAAGAAGTAAAAAGTTGGAAAAAAATTTACCCAGTAATACTAATTAAAAGAAAGTTGAAGTGGCTATATTGATATCAGACAAAATGGAATTCAGAACAAAAAATATTACAAGAGAAAAAGTCATTTCATAATGATAAAGGAGTCAAATCATCAAGAACATAAAAATCTTAAACATATATACACCTAATAACAGGTCTTCAAACATGCAGCAAAAACTGAAAGAACAAAAAGAAATAGGTAATTCCATAATTAATAGTCTAAGATTTCAATATCCTTGTCTTAATAACTGGTAGAACAAGTAGACAAAAGCACCATAAGAGATTTGAACAACACCATCAACCAGCTTGAACTAACTGACATGTAGATAGCACTCCACCAAACAACAGCAAAATAGACATTTGTTTCAAATACACATACAATATTTGCTAAGACAGACCATCTCTGGGTCTCAATACATTTATAAGGATTGAAATCATAAAAAATATATTCTGTGATAAAATGGAGTTAAACTTAAAATAATAACAGATATACATCTAGAAAATCCCCAAATATTTGAAAACTAAATAATTGATTCCTAAATAATACATGAGTCAAAGAAGAAAACAATCGAGAAATGAGAAAGTATTTTAAGTTGAACAAAAATGAAAATACAAATTTCAAAATTTGTAGGATGCACCTAAACTAGTAAACTGAGGGAAATTTATGGCACTGAATGCCTATAATAAAAAAGAAAAATGGTCACAAATCAATTACCTTAGCTTCCACTTGGAGAAACTCGAAAAAGAAGAACAAATACAATACACAGGAGAAAATAATAAAAGACCACAACAGAAATCAATGAAATAGAAAACAGAAAAGTTAAAAAAAAATGAAGCCAAAAGCTAGTTCTTTGAGAAAAGAAAATTTAAAATCCCTAGCCAGAATGATTTAAAAATACACACAGAAGTTTCAACATACCAATTAAAAGGATAATAAGGGGATGTTATAAACTTTATGCTAATAAATTCTAGAACTTAGATAAAATAGACAAATTCCTTGAAAGACACAAATTACCTAGGTTCACTCAAGAAGAGGTTAGCCTAGGCTAAACCGGGCATGTACCAGGAACGCTGCCATTTCAGCAAAGTGAGGAGACTTGCCCAGAGAGTGAAAAGACCTCGGCTAAGTAGGAGATGTAGCTCAGAGGATGAGGACTCTGGAGCCCTGAGACTCCATACTTTTGTGTTATCCCTCTACTACAGGATGAGAATGAGATGTCATCCACAAACAACCCCACACTGGGCCAAGAACAGACACAGTCCCCACTTCCTCTCCCTGAGTTTGCCTCATTCATTCATCCATTCACCAAACATTTACTCCTGACCCACTATATGCCAGGGATATGCTTGGAACAAAATGGTGATCAAGACATAGGCCTTGCTCTCAAAGAAAAAAAAGAAAAAGAAAAGGATAGCCCCTTTTTAGTAGACATAGATAGTCCTATATCTATTAATGAAATTGAATTTGTATTTCAAAAACTTCCCACAAACAAAACTCCAAATCCAAAGCCTTCACTGATAAAGTCTACAAAGCATTTAAGAAAGAAATAATAATAATTCTACATAAATTAATCCAGAAAATTAATGGCTTTCAATCCCAAAGGCAAGCAGAAATATTACAAGAAAACTACAGACCAATATCCCTCATGCATATAAATGTAAAAAGTATTAACAAAATGTTAGCAGACTGAATCCAACAACACATAAAAAGGACAATATATAATAACCAAGTGTTACCCCCAGAACGCCAGGTTGGTTTAACATTCAAAAATCTACATAAATCCATCATATTATCAGGCTAAGAAAGAAAAACTAGAGGGTCACCTGAATAGATGTAAGAGCATTAGACAATACCCAACAATGACCCTGATAAACACACTCGGTAAACTACGGAATTTCTTCATCTTAATAAAGGAATCAATGAAACCCTACCTAGTGGTAAAAGAGTGAATGATTTTACCCTAAAATGAGGAAAAAAGCCAAGGATGTTTCCCATCACCCCCTCTATGCCAGATTGTACTGAAGGTTCTAGCCCGTGCAACAAGGCAAGAAAAAGAAGTGAAAAGTATCCGGATTGAGAATAAATTTTTAAAAGGTAAAAATGTCATTATTTAAATACGACATAAGCATCTATGTAGAAAATTCTACAGAATTTGCAAAACAGCTATTAGAGCTAATAAATAAGTTTAGCTACACTGCAATATCAATATACAAAAATTATTTTTATATGCTAGCAACCAACAATCTGAAATTGAAGTTTTTTTAAATACCATGTACCTTAACAAAAATTATAAAGTACTCAGAGATAAACTGGACAAAAGGTTTTCCACACTTATACAAAGAAAATTTAAAAAACACTACCGAAATTAAACAAAGAGATATGCCATGTTAGTGGACTGGAAGACTCGATAAAATATTTCACTGTCCCCAAATTGATGCAATCTCAAACTAAGATCCCTGCAGGTTTTTTTTGTAAAAATTGACATTCTATTTCTAAAATTCACTTAGAAACGCAAAGACTTAAAGTGACAAAACATCTTTGAAAAAGTAAAATAAAGTTGAAGGACTTCACTACCTAACTTCAAGACTTAGTATAAAACTACAGAAATCAAGACAGTGCTGTATTGATATAATACTAAACAAACAGATAAATGGAACAAAATAGAGGTCCACAATAGACCCAGATATTTATGTTTCATTGATTTTTGACAAAGATTCAAATGGAGAAAGAAGAGTCCTAACAAATAGTACTTGAAGAATTAGATATCTATATCTTTTAAAGAACTCCAATCCACACCTTGTGCATACACAAAAATATCTCAAAATTAATAAATACATCAATATAAAACCTAATATAAAACCTTAAAACTATAAAACTAGTATTAGAAAACATACGAAACTCTTTTAGTATTTAAGTTACACAAGGCAGAGATTTCAGAGAAATGAACCCAGAAGTAAAATCCATAAAAGAAAAAAAGGATAAACTTCATGAAATTTAAGAAAATCTGCTCTCAAAACTAGAACTCTTATACACTGCTCTCATGAAAACAAAATGGTCAACTACTTTGGAAGACAATCTGGAACTTTCATAAAAATATATATATTAAACACCTACAACATGATTGCACATGTCTACATAAAAATCTGCACATGAATGTTCACAGCAGCTTCATTTGTAATTACCCAAAACTGGAAACAACCCAAATGTCCATCAACAAGTGCACAGATAAAGAAATCGCAGTATATTGAAAAAAAGAAAAAGAAATTATGGTATATCCATATAATAACTCACCAATCAGCAATAAAAAGGAATGAATTAGTGAAGCATACAACAACATGATGGATCTCAAAATCACAATGCTGAGTGACGGAAGACAGGCCTCCCCCTAAACCTCCAAAAAAGAGCACACAGTGCAGAGAATCTTTAGGGCAGTGAAACTGCTTTGTGTGATACTATAACACAGTGGTAAGTACATGTCACTATACATTTGTCCCAAGCAACAATATATACCACCAAAAGTAAACCCTAATGGTTTATTAAACTTATGGACATTAGGTGATAATGATGTGTAGCAGATGTACCACTCTAATGGCAGATATTGATAATAGTGGAGTGTGTGTAACAGAGCATGTGTGGAGGTAGGGAGTATATGGGAAATCTCTGTGCCTGTCTCACAATTTTGCCAGAACCTAAACCTACTCTAAAAAACCAGAATCTATTTTTTAAAAGGGAGAGAGAAAGAGAGAGCGAGTGCAAAAGCACATACTGTTTGATTGATTCCATTTATGCAAAATTCGAGAAAATGCCAACTAGTCAATAGTGACAGAAAGCAGATTAGTAGCTGCCCAGAACCACTAGGGGAGAGAAGGAGAAAAGGATTTCTGAGGGACACAAATTAGGAGTGATAATGAACATGTCTCCTAATCTTGATTTTGGTGGTTTAACCAGTATATACGTATGTCAAAACTTTAAATATGTGCAGTTTATTCTATATCAATTATACCCCAATAAAACTCTTTAAAAAGGGAAGAAGAGTAAGTAAGGATTACTTAAATTTGGTTTAACGTGCCTATAAAACTGGGCCTGCTGTCATTTGACAGATGGACTTTTCATTATCATTCAATTTCGTTCATTGTTTTATTCAGATTTTCTACTTCTTGAAGCAATTTAAGTAATGCCTATCTTTCTAGGTATGTATCAACTTCATCTAAGTTCTCAAATGTATCATATTTTCTTAGATATTAGTAATTCATGTAGTATGTCCCTTTTTGTGTCCCTAATATTGGATCACACATAATTTACTTCTCCCTTCTTACATTCTCATCATTCTCCAGAGTTTTAGCTTTATATTCATTTTAGAACAAAAAGTAGTATTTAAACCAATAACTTAGTGAATTTTCCAATACACTTTATCAATCTCTATGCCCACCTTTGTTTGTTCACTTGTTTTAATTAAAAACTAGGCCAGGAGCAGTGGCTCGCTCCTACAGTCCCGGCACTTTGGGAGGCCAATGCGGGCCGATCACCTGAGGTCAGGAGTTCCAGATTAGCCTGGCCGACATTGCAAAACCCCATCTCTACTAAAAATTCAAAATTAGCTGGGCATGGTGGCACATGTCTGTAATCCCAGCTACTCGGGAGGCTGAGGCAGGAGAATCACTTGAACCTGGGAGGCGGAGGTTGCAGTCAGCATTGCGCCATTGCACTCCAGCCTACACAACAGAGTGAGACTCCGTCTCCAAAAAAAAAAAAAAAAGAAAGAAAGAAAGAAAAAAAACAAAACCTTACTTCTGGTTTCACTTTTCTTCTTGCTAAAGAGCAGCATTTAACAGTTTCCCTGGTGAGATTCCATGGATGGTAACTCTCTTGGTCTTTCTTTATATCTGAAAGTATCTGTATTTTTCCTTCACTTTTGAATCAAAGACTAACTGGGTTTAAAAATCAAAATTAACTATAACTTCCCCTTAGCATTTTGAATATATTAGTATATTATTCTCCTGTCTTCTAGCATCTATTGTTGCTAATCTTTCTTTCGTAGGTAATTGGCATTTTTTTGTTTTGTATCTCAAAAATGTTTTTTCCTCTATATCCCTTAAATTCTACAACGTCAACATGATGATACTACTCAATATATCTAAACTCATCATTCTTTAAATAGGAAAATTCTCAATTCTTGGCTCTTTACATTTTGCTTCTTGGCCAGGTATAGAGGCTCATGCCTGTAATCCCAACACTTGTGGGAGGCTGAGACCTCAGGTGGATGGCTTGAGCCTAGGAGTTTGAGACCAGCCTGGGCAACATCGCGAGAATCTGGTCTCTACACACACACACACGCACGCACACACACACACACACAAATGTATTAGCAGGGTCTGGTGTCATGTGCCTGTAGTCCCAGCTACTCAGGAGGCTGAGGCAGGAAGATCACTTGAGGCCAAAAGTTCAAGGCTGTGTTCTCTTATTAGACATATGTTGGAACTCCATCTATCCTTCAAATCTCCTAAATGCCTTTTAAAAAATCTTTTGTCTCTTTATGATACATTCTGAATGAATTCCTTAGTATTCTCTTCTAATTCATCAATTCTCTTTTTAATTGTGTGAGGTCTAAAGTCCATCCCCTCTATTAAGTTTATTATTTCTATGACCATATTTTTCATTTCCAAAATTTGTAACTGGTTCTTTTTCATGTCGTTGTTCCTCTTCCATTTCTGCATATCTTGGGAGTATTTTTAAACATCATTTTTCATCAATGTAATGCCTTTATTTATCCCCTTGAGTATTCTGAACATGATTCTTTTAATTTTTGACTGACTTTTCTGTAAAAATTCATCTCATCTGGGATAAATTTTTGTTCTCATTGTTGATTTTGTTAGCTATCTTTCTTGGTATTTATTTTCTTCCAGTATTTTGGTATTGCATTTTGAAGGCTAATTCTAAGTGAAAGGCTTTTCTTCTTTGCTTCTCTTACTCCCCTTTCTCTCCACCTGTGCTCACCTTTCCCTCCATAGTGTTTCTGCAGCTGCCTCCACCAGGATCCCTGTGCTACTGTCCAGGACCAAACCTCATAATTGTAACATGGAACACCACATTTTCTCATTATTGTCTCCTCACAGTCAGCCTGATTCAGTTGCTATTCTTGAAATTGAATCTATCTCCTCCTGCCCCTCAAGACCCACAGCTCCATATAAACTGGAGCCTCCATGTGGAGCCTTTATTTAGTTTCCTTTTATAGGATTGACAACTTCATCCCTGCCCCTGGCTTTAAGCAGTGAGCTTAGTTATGGTCCCATTTCAAGTGGTAAACTTTCAGTCCTAGCACTCTATGGGAGCTAAATCTAGCTTTCTGTTTCTCCATCCAGAGCCTCTGCAGCACCATCGCTTCAATCCAGCTTACTAGCCCTTTATGTTTAGTTAGCTTTCGGGTCTACAACACTATCTTGTCTGTAAGCCCAGCTACGACTTTTTTCTTTAATTCTTTTAATGCATTATATCTGCCATTCCTATGAATTTAGAGCAGAAGGTATGTACAAACTGTGAGCTTACAGTACCATCTTGACAAGAAGGCACAGATGACTTCTTTAGGATAAAAAGTCTTAGCAGGAGATTCACTAGGTCAAAACGTATGCACTATTAAGACTTCTGATTCACATTGTGAAATTACGCTCCAGAAAAATGCTATGGTACATGTCCATCAACAAATAATACCCAGTTCTTCATATACTCAAACATTCATTATTATCAAACTTTTAAATCTTTGGCAAGTTCATAAATGGAAAAACAAGTTTGCTTGCTCTAATTTACATTTATTTGATTGTTAGTTAGGATGAGTAACTTTTAATATGTTTGTGACTTTGCAGTAGCTCTTTTGTGAAATGCCTGTTCATGCCTTTTGTTTATTGTTTTCTAGGTATTTTTCTTTTACTGTTCTGAATCTAAGAATCTATACTTTATTTGCATATAAAGACCGTGAATCTGGGTTTTGTCCCATTTGATCAGTTAGAATTTTTTTTATTTCTCATTTTATTATGAGCACCTTTCTATTTTATTTTTGTTTGTTTGTTTGTTTGTTTGTTTTGAGACGGAGTCTCGCTCTCGGCTCACTGAAAGCTCCGTCTCCCGCGTTCACGCCATTCTATTATGAGCACCTTTCTAACAAAGTACTTAGTCCCTAGCAGAGTTCACTTCTCTTGATTCAAGCTGTAATATTATATTTTCTAGCACTTTTAAAATGTACTCCCTAAGACAGCACCTTTCACTATAACTCATAGTTTTCCAAATATCCTACAAAGTTAGCTATAGCATTCCTTAATCTCACCAATTTCTTTTCCAAGGGAAATTTTTTTTAATAAATAAAAACAAGTACAAAATAATGTACTTCAGTTCTTCAGATAATTTGAATATCAAATTCTATTTGTCTCACAAACTTGGTCTTCTTACCTATAATCGTCAATTTTAAGAACATAGTCCAAGTTTCAAAAGGGAAAAGAAGGTGTCCTGAAGAGAAAAATGTATATGATGCGAAGCAAAAAAGAAATAAAGATTAGGGAGTGATTGCGGAAATAAAACTTTGGGGAAGGGTGGTTTATAATATTCTGAAAAATATATTAATATCAAAGACATAAGCAAAAACAAAACAAAATGCTGGATCCTTTACTAAGGGCCAAAGACTCAGATGGAACAATTCTAACTTCTTTTGACCCTTTTCAAACTTCTTTTGACTCCATTAGCTGTAACTCACTTGCAAACTACTAATATAATTTCCTTGAGCCAGCTCCAAGTAATTCTACTGAAAACAAAGATAACACTTACCCAAGATTCTTCCTCACAATCAAATACTGTCCATAATTTTGTAAGTGAATAGATGACCAAAGAAAATACCATTCCAAACCATAAAAGAAAGATAACAGAACTAATTAAAATTCCTTCCTTGCCATTCTACCTACATTCTAGCTCCAAGGACCTAATGATACACCCCTTGACATTTCCAAGAGGAGAAACTCCTCCACTTGGCCACACCTGTTCAGATGAAAAAGCCAAATTCTCTCAATCATATTGCAGCATACTTTCCACCCTGAAATCTTATACTTTGGTAGTCTTCTCAAGGTTCAGAGGATAGAGCTCCATGAGATTTCACCACGTGTTCTGCCTGACTTAGCATTAGTATGATCAGACTTAGCACTTTCCTGCCAAGCATCCAACTGTAAATAACACTTGAGATCAGCAGGATTTCTGGCTTTTTTTATAATTTTACAAAGCTTTAGCCATTAAGCCATGATCAAACAACCTGCCATGGGAAAGGAGATGCACACGGTGTTGCAGTAAAGTCACTATAAGTGACCTCAGTGACTATCCATTTAATAATCCTTTGCCCTCTACTGTCGCTGTCTGGCTTTCGGCTGTTTCCAAAGCACAGGCTGTATAATCATCAGACATTAAATACTTTCCCCTGTATAGTCACAGCTGAATTATACAAGATATGACATGTTAGTTTAACAACAACAACAAAAATCCCTTAGCTACTGACACAGCTACATCGACTATCAGTTTTGCCTAATAGCGATGAAAAGTGAAAGAAAAATACCTAAAAGAATAACTTATTTAGTAACTATTTTAGAGGTTTATAATACAAAATAGGTATTTCTCTTTGTTTCCATTTATCCATTCTCAAGATTCTGGAAAGTCAATATACACGCTTTATTTTTTTTATTTTTATTTTTTTTTTTTTTTTTTGAGACGAAGTCTCGCTCTGTGGCCCAGGCGGGAGTGCAGTGGCGCAATCTCGGCTCACTGCAAGCTCCGCCTCCAGGGTTCACGCCATTCTCCTGCCTCAGCCTCCCGAGTAGCTGGGACTACAGGCGCCCGCCATCACGCCCGGATAATTTTTTTTGTATTTTTAGTAGAGACGGGGTTTTCACCGTGTTAGCCAGGATGGTCTCGATCTCCTGACCTCGTGATCCGCCCGCCTCGGCCTCCCAAAGTGCTGGGATTACAAGCGTGAGCCACCGCGCCCGGCCTATACACGCTTTATTATCATGCTTTCTTGATTGAAACGTTGCATAAAACTCTGTAACTTCATCAGCATGTATTTAATCTTATTTCAATATGTCCATTTTCTGTTCTCAAGTTTCCTCTTGCAATTATATCACTAATGAAAAATTACCATTGCTGGATTGTCTTATAAAAAGTAAATAGTCATTGTAATAAAGTTATTCCTCTGCATATATTCCAAGACTTGCAACCTAACCTAACCATCATATATGTAATTTCATCATGCTGTAAAATATAAAACTTCAATCTGAGACATAATAACGAAGGACCAGGCTCTCCACTGAGTTACTTGGATTTTAACTGCAGGTGTATAGGTATCTCTTTAAGTAGCCTACAACCACCTACAACCACAAAGAAAAAAAGGTGGGAGAGTACAGCCTAAAATAATGATGAAGAGCACCAGCTCCAGAACCAGAGCTTATCCTGCCTACTTAAGGTTACTGTGTGACCTTGAGCAAGTTACTTAACCTCTATGTGCCTGAGATTCCCTATCTGCATCCTTTCTTTCCCCACCAAACTTCCTAAAGAGCAATTTCAGATAAATGCCTAGAATTCCTACTGTTTCTTTTGGCCCTAACCCCTATGAGGATCTGGCTTCAACCACTACCATTCTGCTGAAACTATTCTTCCCAAGGCCAATGGCCAACTCATACTTGCTAAAACCCAGAACTATCCTCTTGGTCATTAGGGAAACACTGGGCACAGTCACTTGCATCTCTTTCTCAAAATCCTCATTTCCCTTCGTTTCTATGACATCCTCTCCCTTTTATTCCTATAACCTAAGCTCCCTTCTTCTCTGTCTCTGTTTCAGGTCTTTCTTCCTCTGCCTTTAATAGCAGACACTATCTGCATCCTTTCTTTTTCTACTAAACTTCCTAAAGAGCAATTTAAGATAAATGTCCAGAATTCCTAAGATCATCAGGTAAATCCCACTCTTCTAACTCTACAAAACATTCTTCCTTTAGGCAATCTCATCTTCTTAAAATGAGTTCATTACCGATAACTCTGAAGTCCTCATCTCCATTCCAAACCTATATTTGAAACTGTCTTCAGGATATTACAACATGAAAGTCCTCACCTGCCAGCACCTAAGATTCAATAAGACCAAAATCAAAGTCAATATTTTTCTTTCCTGACTGTCTTAAATCTGTTTCTCCTTTTTTTTTTTTTTTTTTTTTGCTTTATTTTGGTTTTGTTTTCTTTATAGAGATGGGGGTCTTACTCTGTTGCCCAGGCTGGTCTCAAACTCCTAGGCTCAAGCAATCCTCCTGCCTCAGGCTCCCAAAGTGCTGGGATTACAGGTGTGAGCCAACATGCCCACCCTGTTTCTCCTGATTTTAATCTTAATGTCGTCACTAGCCAGCCACAAAAGGACAAATACTGTATGATTCTACTTATATGTGTTACCTGAAATAGTTGAATTTGTAGAGACAGAAAATAGAATGGTGGTTGCCAGGGGCTGGGGGAAGCTAGAAACAAGGAGTTATTGTTTAATTGGTACAGTTTCAGTATGGGCTGCTGGAAAAGTTTTGAAGATGGATAGTGGTGATGGGTTCCACAATAATGAGGATGAACTTAATACCACTTGTTAAATGGTTAAAAAAAATGGCTAAGGACTAAAATTATAAATTTTATCCTATGTGTATTTTACAATTAAAAATACATATAGTAATATATACGTATATATTACAAAATGTATATGTATACATATATACAAAATACAAAATATTTATGTGTATATATAACTATACATACACAAACATATTATATATTTGTATATGTACAAAATATATGTATATATAATTTGTGTTATAATTTTTGTGTATATACGTATATGTATATATATAATTTGTATATATATACGTATATGTATATATAATTTGTATATATATACATACATTTATATAATTTGTCTGGAATATACATACATATACATGTTTATATACATGTACACATGTATACATACATACATATATGTGTGTGTGTGTGTATATATATATATATGTATGTTCCAGACACTATAAACAGTTTATGTGAAAGTCAAAAACAAAAACAGAAACAAAAATAAAAAACCAGGTACAATTTGAAGAAATCAAAAAATTCAGAAAGGCTGGGGGAAAAACATCAAAACATTCATATGCAATTGACATTATTTCTAAACTACATATGATCTTAAGTGTCTGAGGCTACATATTGTTCTCCAAATAGATCAACCATACATGATTTTTTGGCATCATGAAATTAGAACAGAAAAAAATGTTAATAATTGCCTAATCTGAAATGAGAGTATTCTCTAGCTTCAAAGTTAGGAAACTTTCACCAAATTCCAAGAGAACGGTCAAGTTTTTCTAGGCTGAGAATGCAGAGGAATCTTACTCACATTAAGTCTAAACCACAAAGAGACTTACAGCTCCATGACAGCGCTCTGAAAAGACAAGTAGTACTTGTTGCTTTTGGAGAACAACCTAGCTCATAAGGAGGAAAAAACTGCTCTTTGCCTATATCCTCTGAATATTTTGCAGATCTGAGCTCATGTTGCAGTTCATTAGAGCTCTGTTATTATATTAGACACAAGGTTATGCCAATGGTTCCATTTCCAGGGTATCTCTCTCATCCATAAAATTCAATCCAGGCTGAAAAATCTGGCACATGAAGTCCTCACTTGAGAGAATATCTTCATGTTTTACATATGTAGATGAGCATATACAGACAGATAATAACTATAAGTAACAATGAATAATTTTAAGGTGCATGACTATAACAGAATTTAAGAAAGCTTTCATCACTTTGCAATGTATTTCAGCTTTATAAATGTCCTAGAGTCTTAAACTAAAATATTTCATTTCCAAAATGAAATTTGGCACTTGGTTAATTTATTCAAACACCTGGTTCCTATTACTTACACAATATGTCTGAATGGGAAAATACAGTGTATTTACACACTTACTTATAGAGGACAGAGTATGTACAAGTAAGAGACACCCAAGGTCTCCCTACCCCCGCTGAGGTAACTACCCCTATGATACTAAAGACAGGTAGAATGAAAAATCAGTGAAGAAGAAATGCCAGTACTAAATATTTTCCAAAAAGCTAGGAGATAATGGAGATAGAGGTTGGGCATGAAAAAGGTCAATTTTTTTTTTTTTTTTTTTTTTGAGACAGAGTCTAGCTCTGTCGCCCAGGCTGGAGTGCAGTGGCCTGATCTCAGCTCACTGCAATTTCCACCTCCCGGGTTCAAGCAATTCTCCTGCCTCAGCCTCCTTAGTAGATGGGATTACAGGCGCCCACCACCATGTCCGGCTAATTTTTGTATTTTTAGTAGAGACGGAGTTTCACCATGTTGGCCAGGCTGGTCTCGTACTCCTGGCCTCAAGTGAGCCGCCCACCTCAGCGTCCCAAAGTGCTGGGATTACAGGCATGAGCCACCCCATCTGGCCAAATAAGGTCAATTCTGTATCAAAAGCAGAACAGCATATAGCCAAAGAGGTGGGGGAAAAAAATGTTAAGAGTAGAGAAAGAATAAAGACGAAAGAGAAAGAATTTACAAACTTTAGGTAAGGCTTGAGTCTGAAGAAGATGCATCAGATTATAATTTCCTAAACTCAGGAATCTCTACTTTTTTCTCCTAATTCAGGGCACATATTCTACATATGTTGACAGCACATCACTTGATGGGACAGACAAGCCCATTTTGCTTTTTCTTGTTGATCTTCAACACCAATCCTGCTACTCTAAACAAAAGCATGGCATTTCTGAGTACCCACAATATATGGTTAAGTGAAGGAAGGAGACTTGAGCAGGACAGGAGAACAGGGTCAATCCTGGAAGTAGCCAATCACACAGAATCAGCATAACACATATCTGGGTTTGCTCTTCCATAAACCAATAGCAATGAATAGTTCAGTGTCTTTGACTCGTCGGAACCTCCATCATTCACTATGGAGTCTACGCTCATTTGCCTTCTTTCTCATATATTTATTGGCTTGATTTAACTATAATGTCATTTGGCCCACCTGGTCTACTAGGGACATGCTACACAGTCTAAGATGAAAGATGTTTATATGATTAGTTAGATATACCAGACTTACAGATGAGATTTCAACATTAGGCCTCAAATGTAATCTGCTGAAACTGTATGAGTCAGCGTAAAAGGAACAATCAGGCTTCTCCTACTGACAACAATTCCTTTGAAACCTAATACAAAATAATTTTTTTTTAATTTTTGCTTTTAAATTCTAGTTGACCAATTTAACTTCAACCAACAGGGATATCCATACTTAATGCTTAAAATCAGGAAAATCCTTAGTATCCTGATCTGTAAAATGAGTGGTAGCAAGTGACCTCTATCTAGGGTGCCTTCCAGGGTGGTGTTATGACTACCGAAATCAAAGTAAGTTGGCCAATATTGGCTGCATTTTCCATTAAGAAGAACCTATTAACCTGCTTTCCCACTTCCAACAACATCAGAGCCATTTTCACTGGACTTTTTCCCTTTGGCCCATAAGGTGATAGATAGTGCTACTCCCACCAAGACATAGAAGTTGTAAAGCAAACGCTGCTGCCCTAGAAATTGAAGGTGTATGCGCTCTCTTTACAAGGATGGTGTTTCTTTTTCTTTTTTTTTTTTTTTTTTTTTTTTTTTTTTTTGAGAAGGAGTCTCACTCTGTTGCCCAGGCTAGAGTGCAGTGGTGCGACCTTGGCTCACTGCAACCTCTGCCTCCTGGGTTCAAGCAATTCTCCTGCCTCAGCCTCCCGAGTAGCTGGGACTACAGGCACCCGCCACCACACCTGGCTAATTTTTTGTATTTTTAGTAGAGATGGGATTTCACCGTGTTAGCCAGGATAGTTTCGATCTATTGACCTCATGATCTGCCCGCCTCAGCCTCCCAAAGTCCTGGAAACACAGGCGTGAGCCACTGCGCCCAGCCCAAGGATGGTGTTTCTAAGGAACAAATGTTCAAGTCACACTCAGCCTCTCTACCATCTTATGTCCAAACAGTAGGTCAGGAATAACCAGCTTAAAGTTAATGGCTTCAGGGTACCAGCTATTTGCATTTCAGTTTGCTTTTATGCTCTCCCACTCCATTTCTGACTGTTACCTATTAAAACTTTAGAGTAACAGAGACTATCCAAGTGCATCACAAAATTCACAGCAGTCGCAAGGAACCTAGAATAATAATTCAGACATTCTAAATGCATAACTGATGTTAGTGTTTATTTTTAAAAAGGACATTATCTCATAAAGTAGATTTGAGATCATCTCTTCTGAATCCTATTTCATTCAAGAGCCAGTTTTGAATTTTTTTATTTTATTTTCATTATGTTCTGATCTGCCAAAAGATACAGAGTGTGTGTTGCCATTTTGCATTGAATCCATGCTGTCAAAAATGACTGGAACTGTAGAACCATAGCAGCGTACCACCATGGGCAGCACACACAGCTCACTTTCTCCTCTCCTAGTATTCCTCACAGCTCAAAAAGAGTTGTTTTCTCACTTATGGCCTATAATCTCATATTCCAACAAATGCTTTTAAAGAAAGGTCATCATAAGAAAAGAAAGTGTGTGTTTGCATGGGGTAGGGGCAGTGTATCAACTTTCTCACACAAGCCTCTGAAACCACTCACCATATCTCGCCTAACACACTCCAACAGCCTCCTCCTGGTCTCTCTATTGTCCCCTGCCTATGGTCTATCCTCTACAGCCGTCAGAGCAACCTCCTTTAAAAAGTAGGTCAAATCATGTCATTCCCTTGCTTAAAAACTTTTACCTTCTTAATGAGCTCCCACTTTGCGTAAAATAAAATCCACACTCTTTATCATGACTTTCTTTTTTTTTTTTTTTTCTTTTTGAGATGGAGTCTCGCTCTGTCACCAGGCTGGAGTGCAGCGGCGGAATCTCGGCTAACTGCAACCTCCGCCTCCCGGGTTCAAGCAATTCTCCTGCCTCAGCCTCCCGAGTAGCTGGGACTACAGGCGCATGTCACCACGCCCAGCTAATTTTTGTATTTTTAGTAGAGACCGGGTTTCACCATGTTGGTCAGGATGGTCTTGATCTCTTGACCTCATGATCCACCCGCCTCATCCTCCCAAAGTGCTGGGATTACAGGCATGAGCCACCGCGCCCAGCTATCTTTCTTAATCATAGCAAGTCTGTCCCTCAAATCTCTCTCTCCACCATTCTCAAATCATGTAGGCCTTCTTTCTGTCCTTCAAATGATGTTTCCTCTCCCAGCTTTGCACAACTTTCTCTTTCTCATCAATTCATTCCCCAAATGGCCCAATCCCTGCCATCCTATCAAAAACAGCACTCTCACCCTAGTTGCTATCATATATTCTGTTTATTTATTTGTACTTAATTTTTGTCTCTCTCCCACTAGCATATAAGCTCCATGAAAGCAGAGACTAAGTATACTTTCCTTTCCACTTTCATTCAGTAATTATTTTATGTCTACTTCATGTCAGGCATTGTTCCAATTACTGGGAATATGCAGTGAACCAAGAAGGCAAAAAAATCCCTCTTCATATGCACTGGCACTCTGCCCTGTTCCTCACTGACTCCCCAGACAGTGATGTGAGCCTTAGGTTTTACTGTGCTTCAGTATGCCTTTTAAAACTATTTTCATTAAATCAACCAAGTTACTAATGAATAAAATCTATTGAGGCTGGTCACACATATATATTATTAATATATAATGATAATGTCAAAAAGCTTAGCTTTAACTATTAGAGCTGAGTGAGGTCCAAATGCTACTTACTATTTGCCACTCCTCTAAGAAAAAAACTTGTTTCCCAATTCTAACCTCTTTTACAGTTTCTCATAAATCACAACCCCTCCTCACTTTCCCCCACTCTGCACTCCCACATACACTATACCACCTTGGCAGAGGTAAATGAACTGAGTTCGTTGACACATTGAAACAGCTTTGATGTATATGAACATATCTGCAATATCTGAATTCTACCTCCAAATATAGTCCAATTTTTTTTCTTTAGTTTGGTTTTATTTTTTAACATAAGGAACATCATTTATCTATGCAATGACTGGTAATGAAACCTACTTGGCAATTACCTGTTAGATTTGTCACACTCAATTTAGCACTTCAGCAATTATAGTAAGTAAAGCCCAAATGTGAAATCACTTAAACTTAGTCTCTTTTTCGCTGGTAGGATGCCCCAAGTCCCACCCAGAGGAGCCTCTCCCTGCCAACACCTTGACAGCTCACCTATTTTCAGGTCTGCTGAGCTATGCCTGGCTATCTTTCTACCAAGTCAGGGAAAAGGAATCCTGGAAAACCACAAATCCATCTCTTTTGTTCCACAGAAAAAGTATTTACTTTTGAAAGTCACCATATAACCATACATACTCAATTTATATGCTGAATCTGGTTGAAGAGCTAACCCACATGAAAAGACACAAGGAGAGCCAAATGGGAGTATTACCAGTTTAGGTTATTTATTTGATGTTTAGCTTTCATTTGTCTACATGATTTCAAGGAGTTTTCACAGTGGAAATGTACAGACAGCAAGTATACTTTGCAGAGCCCCTTGAAACAGAACAATGTGCTGAAAAGTACATAGAATCTTTAAGGATATGAAAGATGCTATGAATATAGAATATCAAGTCCAGGTTTTAAGACGAAACCCTCATGCTCAACACTCACCCATAAAGCAGGGGCATCTAGCTAGATTTGGCTGCTCATTGTAAGTGACTATAGAGTTACTGTTTTTCAATACAGTTTCCAAGGGCCCATCTCAGCCCTGGTTTAGAATCTCCAGAAGTAGGGTCTGTATTGTTTCTAAGGCCAGTGAGGTGAGGTGATGATCAACCAGGTTTAGAAACCACTGATCTACAGAACCTAAGACCTGAACTTAAATGTCATCAGAAATCAGGCAGTTAAATGAGCAAAGCAGGAAGGTAAAAGACATAGGATATAATGGAGCATGCATTCAAATTAATTTTTTTTTTTTCCGAGACAAAGTCTCACTCTGTCACCCAGGCCGGAGTGCAGTGGCGCGATCTCAGCTCACTGCAACCTCCACCTTTCGGGTTCAAGTGATTCTCCTGCCTCAGCCTCCCGAGTAGCTGGGATTATAGGCACGTGCCACCACGCCCGGCTAATTTTCTTTTACTTTTTTTTTTTTTTTTTTTTTTTATGGAGTCTTGCTCTGTCACCCAGGCTGGAGTGCCGTGGCGCAACCTCGTTTCACTGCAAGCTCCGCCTCCCGGGTTCACGCCATTCTCTTGCCTCAGCCTCTCGAGTAGCTGGGACTACAGGCGCCCGCCACCACGCCCTGGCTAATTTTTTGTATTTTTAGTAGAGACGGGGTTTCACCGTGTTAGCCAGGATGGCCTCGATCTCCTCGTGACCCGCCCGCCTCGGCCTCCCAAAGCGCTGGGATTATAGGCGTGAGCCACCACACCTGGCCTGTATTTTTTTTTAGTAGAGACAGTGTTTCACCAACTTGGCCGGGTTGGTCTCGGACTCCTGACCTCATGATTCACCCACCTCAGGCTCCCGAAGTGCTGGGATTACAGGAGTGAGCCACCGCACCCAGCAGTCAAATTAAATTTTTAAAAAATACAGTGGGCCCAATTTAGTCTGCTGCTCTTGATTCTGTTATTTTGGTATTTAGACTGTAACTCCTTGAAGCTGAGCACCATATCTCATTCGTACCTGTGCCTGGTATAGTGCCTGATACATAATAGGTTCAATCGATGTTTGTTAAATTACTGATAAAGATTTCTGTAAAGAAATTCCAATTCTTCTGACATTATTAGAACTGCCACTCATTCAACCAAAATTCACTACACACCTACTACACACAAGGCTCTAAGGATACTGAGTGTGACTAAGACAGACAAGATTCCTGTTCTTATGGGGTTTACATTTTGGGAGAATGGAGGAAGAGATAGGAATAAACATTCGTACATAAATAAGCCCATTTCAGACAGTGATGAATATCATTCAGCATTAAAATGGCTGCACTTTGTGTCGAAGGTTTAATGAATTTCAGACACACACAAGTGAGTGGAAGTTACTGGCTTCTGAGGAGCTGAAGAATACTCACCTGATTTGTACAGCCTGAGCTCTGCCACTATACCAGTTGAATGACCTTGGACAAACCACTTAATCAATCTGGAGGAATTAAATTAAATGATCTCTAAGACTTTCTAGCCCTGAGATTGTATATTCTATTAGGAAAGATGCATTAGCAAAATTTCACACACCAAGATGGTCATGTCTGATCTAGAGTACCCAAATACTTTGAGGTGCCATTCCTCAATAATTGGCTCTCGACATTTACACATTATCATAAACTGAAAAATTTTCCAAGCATTCCATGAGTCCATCTCTACAGTTTACCTAAGGCAAAAACCACAGGCTCAGATATTGATTGCCACAGTGGGCAACTGGCATGCCTAGACTAGGCTATGAAGCTGGCACTGTCACAGGTCCCAGGGAAAAGGAAATCAAATACCGAGTTTAAAGTGATTATGGAAACCGGAAATTAGTTAAATTCTCTCATTCAATAAACATTATTAAGAGACTGCAGAAAGCCAAAACAAAACAAAAACACAAGCTCTTCCTATAAGGACCTTGGTTGGTATGGACTCTTAAGCTGAGTTTCAGAGGCTTCATGAACCCCATGAAATTAAATACAAAGTTCTGGGTATACGGGCACTTGTCTGGGGAGAGGGTTCCATAACTGTCATCAGATTCTCAAAAGGGTCAAACTGGGGATACTACTACATAAGACACTTTAGACAAGCTCTCTCTTTAATTGTCATATGAATCCCCATTACATAAACAAAGAAACTGAGGTGTAGAGAAGTTCACGTGCCAAAACACAGCCAAGAAGTAGCACAGCAGAAATCTGAACCCTGATGTGCCAGTCTCCAAAACCTATATTTTTTCCTCTGTGCTATGCTCACTTATAAACAAACAAACAAACAAACAAACAGGGCTGTTAAAAAGAATGCATCAGTGAAGCCCCCACAGACCAAGCACCATAATCATGTTAGTGACAAAAGCAAATTCAAGCCTATTACTTTTTAGAGGCTGAAGGAGCCAACATTTTGATTTTTCAACCTCTGCCTCCACCAACTAGAATAAGATGATAGAAGAAGTACAAGAGCCCAAACTAGGGTCGATGACTTTAGGGATCCTGTCCATTCAGAAATCAAAGCATAGGAACCTCCTCAGGCAGCCCAACCCCAAGGTCACTACCCTACACATCTCCAAGGCAGGAATCAGGTAACTTTTCTTCCACCACTGAATGTGGTGGGTGTGCTATATCTCACTTTCCTAACTTGCCTGTGGCCTAACTCTTGGCTCTGACCTTTCATGTTCACACAAATGGCTGTTTACATTTCATGAGTCATGTTACATTTACATAAAAAGGCAACCTGAAAATCATCTGCTATAAATGACAGAATCTGAAATAAAGATCCACTTATGTATTGTGGCATAACAGAAAGAACATGGTCTTTGTAATCAGCATTCAGTACAAATACCAGGAACTACTAGCATTTAGTAGCTGCGTAGCCTTGGGTAAGTTACTTTACCTCTCTGAACCCTGATTACTCAATTGGAAAAATAGGGATAATTATATCTCAGATTTTAATAATCAGCAAAGATTTAGTGAATGCCTACTATGTGCTAAGCACTGTTCTAAGCTCTAGGGGCACAGTTGGGAATGTGACACATAAGATTCTTTCCCTCATAAAGCTTATATTCCTGGTAGAAGAGACAGAAAAATAGCCAAATAAATAAGCTATAAAATATGCAATGATTTTAATAACATTACATTAAAATAGCAATATTTAACATTTTTTGATTATGTACAATGTGTCAGAAACCATAAAAGATGCTAAGTACTACCTTATTCAATTCTTACAATGGAGGGATATAATAATATTTCCATTTTATAAAGAAGAAGATGAAAGTCCTGAAAAGTTAAGTAACTTCTCCAAAATCACACAGCCAGTAAATGACGAGGCCATGATTGAAATCCAGACAGTCTAATAGCAGAAACTCACTCTGCACTGCATCAAGCGATTTAATGAAAATAAAATCTAGGCTGAATGTGGTGGCTCAGTGGCTCCTGCCTGTAATCCTAGCACTTTGGGAGGCCGAGGTGGGTGAATCACCTGAGGTCAGGAGTTCAAGACCAGCCTGACCAATATGGCAAAACCCCGTCTCTACAGGTGGGAAAATCGCTTGAACCCAGGAGGTGGTTACAGTGAGCCCAGATCATGCCACTGCACTCCAGCCTGGGCAACAAGAGCAAAACTCCATCTCAAACAAAAAGAAAGAAAGTAAAATCTAGTGATGCGGTAGAGGGAAACCGCTGTAGCTCAGCTGGTCAGGGAAGGCACATTGAGTGGGTGTCATTTTAGGCAAGACACAAATCACAAGAAGCCAGGCCCAGACTAAAGATCTGGGGAGAGAGTGTCCCAAGCAGGAAGAACAGCTGGTACAAAGGCCCTAAGGAAGAACCAGTCTGGTGGCTTCCAGGGACAGAAAGCAAGCCAGTGAGTCTGGAGCACAGTGAACGAGCAAGGACAGAGTGGCTGGTGAGCTCTCAGAGCTATAGAACCCAGGTTGTTCTGGTCTTGTCAGCCAGAGCAGGAGAAGGATCTCATTCTGTTTGTCATTAAGTCACTGAAGAGTCTTATAGGCAGTGAGGTGACATCACTTGATATATATTTTTAAAATAAATCCAACTTATGTCTGGAAAGTGGATTATGAGAGGGAGAAGACTGTTAAAACTTGAAGTAGGGAGGCCACATTGAGGGTGCAGAAGTCTGTGCAAGAAATGATGGTGGCTTGGCCTGTAGTAGTAGTGACAGAAGTGGAGAAAATTGTACAGGTTCAGGATATATCAGAAAATCACCATGAAGATTAGATGAGGGTGTCTAAAACACCTACTAGAGCATCTAACACACAGCAGGCATTTACAAGCGCTAGCTAGCTTCCATGGCTAGCATTAATTAATAAGAGGTTTGAGATAAAACTATAAATTAATGGATATAATGTGCATTATTCAGATGAGTTACACTAAAAGCTGACCCAGACTTTACCACTACACAATATATCCATGTAACAAAACTGCACTGGTACCCCTTACATTTATATAAATAAACAAACTCTAAATTGTACCCGAAATGAGTCTTCGGCATCTCTGCCCCAGTTTCTCCAAGGAAGCCCGTAGAAGTTTAGAGTAAATTGGGAGTGCACCAAATTCAAACCACAATAGAGAATTGATCTATTAAAGGAGCTGGACTGTTAAATTAAAACAGTTTCTGTGTGCCAAGCTGAAACACAAAGGGATCACTCTTCTTTAACAATAAAGACCAGTTAAGGGGAGACTCCAGTTACACAATCTCCTCCTCTTCACCGTAAGGCACTTAGATGGAATTTTTTTTTTAATAGAAAAGACAAACTCTTGAGTAAATGTAATAATTGTTGCAATGATGTGCCCCAACCACCCAAGAAGTTAAAAAAAGAAACTGGAAGATTGGGATTCTTCTATTACATGATCAGTTAATTGCTGCCTCAAGTCTAGGCTATATTCACACCAGCAAAGGGATGATGTTATTTGGGAGATCTGACAGCCAGTCAGGAAGCAGAAAGATTGCCTTCCAAATATAAATAAATAAACAAGCAAGCAAACAAACAAATAAAGCAATCAAAGGCTTACAAATGAGGCCAACTGACTCAAAGAATTTTCGCATGTTGCTCAAAATGGGTTCTTTTTTTAGAGAAGGCTTTCCTTAATGTCCCAAATAGGAGGTCCTATTACCTTCTCAGTCATCTCACAAACAACTGATCTCTGCGGCACTTGTCATTCATTATTTTTCTAACAGAAACAACAATTCAAAAAAAAAAAAAAAATCCACAATCACATTGATTTAGGTTAAACATTTATTATCACCAAAGGCAGGTTAAAAAAAAATCCTCCCTGTGCTTCTTAAACTCAAAAAATCAGGCCCCAGGAATTCCGACCCTGGGCTAACAGCAATCTCAGGACAGGAGAGAAATTTTCTCCTCCAGGTTGCCTCACTTAGCCTAAGTTCCAGGGTAAAAAAGGAAATTGGCCTTCAAGATATAACTAATAAAACTATTATTCCACTCTTGGAATTTTTAGCTACTCAAATCTTCCTAATTGGCATAGTGCAGTAGATTGGCAAAGGTTCCACAAGATCAATACTATTTTCAGAATAATACTATTACTTGCTTTTTTCACCGTGTGGACATTTCCACTGACGGTTTAAAGAATGCTGGGTAAAACTGCAGGTGCCTTGTCACTAATCAAGCCAGCGGTACCAAACTAAACTAGTATTCAGTTTTTTTAACATCTATTTTTAATTGACAAGTAATACATATTTATGGAGTACAATGTGATGTTTTGACATTTGTATACATTGTGGAATGATTAAATCAAGCTAATTAACTTATCCATCACCTCACATACTTTGTGGTGAAAGCATTTAAAATCTACCATTTTAGCAATTTTGAAATATACATTATTATTAACTATAGTGAGCAGGCTGTTTTAATAGACCTCAAAAACTTACTAGTTGCTATGTTCTTTACCATGCATTCCATTTAAAAGAGAAAGAAAAAGGAAGTTAGTTTCACTTAAGCATGTCCTTGGTGAAGCAGGAAAAATTATTAATTCTATTAAATCTTGAGCTTTAAGTAGCTATCTTTTTACTATACTGTGTGACAAAATAGTAAACATACATAAAGTACTTCTGATAAATACTAAAGTAAAATGGTTGTCTCAAACAAAAGTACATGTGTGATTTGAGTTCTGGGCTGAATTTGCCCCATGGAACACCATTTTTACTTGAAAAAATAGCTGACTGACATTTTTCTGGTTAATCGGACTTGAGTATTTGGCAGACTTTTTCTCAACAATTAATCAAGTGAGCTTGCCACTTCAAGAAAAACAACTGACCATATTTGCTGCCAATGATAAACTTCAGGTTGTCAAGAAAAATCAGAAATTTAGAAAATTTGTATTTGCTACCTTGAGCTTGGGGCTTTTCAATACTTAAAAACTTGTATAAGATCAGTGGTGATACTGATGAGTGTGACCTTTTTTTACACTGTATAATGAAATGCATCAACATTTGGAAGATCTGTATAACTCAGTGACATGATAATTTTCCAAATGATCAAAACGTAATGTTACAAAATCATTTGAATGTAAAAGATGCATTCAAAGTGCAAAAGAGATCAACAGATTTTAATATAACAAAGTAAGAAAAGTTAATTGAGATAGCTTCGGATTCCACACTGCAAGTAAGCTTTAAGATATTATCACTTGTCTAAAGAAAATGGAATAATATTCAGCCTTACAAAAGGAAATTCTGTCATCTGTGACAACATGGATGAATCTTGAATCTAGAGGGCATTATGCTAAGTGAAATAAGCCAGGTACAGATCTCCCTAAAATATGGAATCTAAAAAAGTCAAACTCATAGAAGTAGAGAGCAGAACAGTAATTGCCAGAGTTTGGTGGGATAGAGCAGAGAAAGGGGAGATGTTAGTCAAAGGGTAAAAAATTCAGTTTGACAGGAGACCTAAGTTCTAGTGATCTGTTGCACAGCATGCTGACTAGTAAACAGTAATGTATATTTCAAATTTGCTAAAATAGTAGATTTTAAGTATTCTCACCACAAAGAAATAATAAGTATGTGTGGTGACAGATATGTTAATTAGCTTGATTTAATCATGCCACAATGTGTACATGGAACATCACAGCATGCCCCATAAATATAGATAATTATTGTCAATTAAAAACAAAAATGTTTTAAAATAGAAGCTATCACTTGACAAGTTTTGGAATAATATCAAAGAAGAATATCTACATTTAATAGCTGAAGAAGCAATTAAAATACTCCCTTTTTCCATTAATGTCTGAGGCCAGATTTTGTTCATATACTTCAACCAAAACAACATATTTCAACAACTAAACAAAAAAGTATAAGAATCAAGCATCAAGCTAGACAGTAAAGAGATGTGCAGAAAAGTAAAACAATGGCACACTTCTTGCTAATTTTTTACATTGGAAAAGAGTTATTTTTCATAAAAAATGTTACATTAACTTGTAATGAAGGGGTTTTGCTATTTTTAAATCAATAAAGGCTTTTAAAAGTTCCTGTTTTAGTTCCCAGTACAGTAAATATTGATAGGTTTAACCCATATAAACAAAAGCTTTTTGAGTCCTCAACAATTTTTAGGAGTATAAAAGGGTTCTGAAGCCAAAAAATTTGTGAACCTCTGGCCTAAAGCAAACACATAATAGCTGCCTTCTCACACACACAAAAAGCAGAAAGAAGCCAAAGTGAATTTCTTTGGGCTTTATTGTGTAATTCGCTTAAGGCCCATGGGCCTTACTAATTTACATGTCTGATTTACTCAGAATCCTTCTTCCTCCTCCTCGCTGGCAAGAAACCACAGACAAATTCCATTGCTATTTCACAACACACACTTCAGCAAACTGCAATGCAGTGGTATGGACATGGAGCTCATCCAGCCTGGCAAACGGGGATAAGGAGCTCAACTCCAGGGTTTTCCCTCTCAGGGCCCTTTTCAAACACTAAATCCACAAAACTCAGCATTAGTTTGCTCAAAGCAAATAGTTAATTTCAGTAGTAATCAAAAAGACAAAATCACACAGCTAGAGTACCGCTTCAGCCCCCAGATTGACCCTCCACCATCCCCTTTTTCCCAAGCAAGTAGATGTCTAAACCATGAAAAATCAACAAATCAATCCACAACAAATATTTACATTGTCGACATAAAAAGGAGCGGAGAGTATATAGTCATAAAAAGAAAACTAACGATATAGGTAATAAAATTAAAATGCCTTAGTAAACCATGCTATAAGTATGAAGAAAGGAGAAAAAAACTCTGTGCCTAAGTGATCAAAGGAATAAACAAATGAGAAAGAAAACAGACTATTAAAAGCAGGCAAAAGGATAGCAGAGCTGAAAAGTTAGTAAAGGACAAGACACTCTGACATCAGTGATTAGACCTTTTGGCTAAAATTCAGTTCCAGCAGGGGGAAAATGAAAGATAAGCCTGGAATGATAGATTGCACCCTGATTATGGAAGGTCCTGAAAGTCAAGCTAAGGAGTCTGGATTCTATCCTGCATGTAATGAGGAGCCTCAGAAAGCTTTTGAGAAGGACAGGAGCACAGTGGAAGGATGTTTGTTATTTGTTGTTCTGATTTTTAAACACCAATCTACTTATAATATGGTTACGGTGAAAGAAACCAAAAGCCAGATAAGGAGACTACTGCAAAAGCCCAGGCAGACAGGAGCTGGACCTGAACAAGGAGACAGCAATGGAAATGAAAAGGAATCAAGAGTTACAGGTAGGCAGGTGGATCTGAAATCTCACATAGTACCAAGACACGTGACTAGGAAAGGTGGGGCCATATAAGAAATAAGGAAGTCAATGTCATTAACACATCTACTGAGGGCCCACTAAGCTAGTTGCTGTGCTGGACAGAAAATGCAATATGAGTTGGAGGTAAAGATATTTTATTTTAAACATGCTGGGGGAAGAGGTAGATATGGTGGCACTCAGCACCCTTCCAATCTCCTCTTATTGTGCCTTCCTATGGTGCAGAGGATGAAAAGGTAAACACTATTATTTCTCAGACCCTTTTGCAGCTAGGAGTTCTGGATGAGAAATAAGCTTCACCAATTTAATGGCGGCATGTGAGAATCAGAAGTCAAAAATAAAATGGAGGCCATCACCTTGCTGTTTCAACTTTTTCTGCAGGCAACATAGTCATGAGGCAATAACATTCCAGAATCTGGCCATTCACTTTGTAGTTCTCAAATGCCAGTTGTAATGGTGGTACCTTCCTGATCCCAACTACAACTATGGTTGTGTGTTCTTACAAATCAACAGTTCTAGGAATGACTCCTGATTCTTAGCCCTTCCCGAGTGTGACAGATGAGCGGCTACCCTGGCAAGCCAATCTGTAATATTGTTTCAGAAGCCCATCTCTGGAGGCTCCACCTTCAGCCCATTTCTCTGGTCCTCCTGATGACTTTATATCAACCTATTTCCCTATCTCACATAGTTTCTGTTTCCTACAACTAAATCCAGACATATATAAAGGGTTTAAGTAAAAGTAGAACAACCAAGTGAAAATAGTTGATACACAGTTAAAAGAATGGAACTTAAACCTTGGAAACAGAGCCAGGCCAGAAACAGAGCCAGGCCACAGTATATGAAAATAGGTACTATCTACACAGATGCAGAAGTCTGAGCCCTCAGACTACATTAATCCATCTTCTGGAATTTCTACAACTCACCTTGGAATCAACAAAGAAAAATCTTCCTAGCTTTCTTAGGTAATTATAGCAACATCTTATATTTACCTGGAGCTTTGAATATAAGCAAAGGTATATTGAGAAGTTATTGTTTCACTTTTACCTGGTGGAGGAGACACACAAGGGTGCGTATTATAATCTCCATTTTAAGAAATGAGAGAATCAAAGCACAGAGACGGCAAACAGTTTGCCTAAGGTCATAGAGGGTAAGTTAGTGGTCCAGCTAAAGTATTTCCTGCTTTAAACCTATTTTATCCTGTTTGGTCTTCTGTCGGTTAATTCTGACCACATTCTAAAATAAACGTTGAAATTGTTGCTATAGAAATATTAGGAGCCTAAGAGGGCTTGTAAAAACCACAAAGAATTAAATGGGGCCGAACTTACGACCATGGAAAAAATTAAAATTCCATGTGTAATTTTCTTCTCCGATTTTAACCTAAAATGTGGTGCTTGTGGCAGGCCCACTGTTCCTATGACACGCTTCCAACACTCACAGTTCTGAGTAACAAGTGTCGTCCAATTATTCCAGCAGCTATTCATTTATTTTTCTGTCATTCTATGAGTTGGAAAATTAACAGTGTTGTGTTTACAAACCTTCACTAGGTCCTTACATAAAAGCTCAAATATGTTTACGTTACACACAATTCTGGTCTGAAGAAGCTCAAAAGCCAGTTAATATAAACCTATTCTGAACAAATGTGCGAAAACTAGTCCTGTTAGGCAGAGGTTAAGCTTTGACCTTCCCAACTTTCTCCACAGAATGTACAATCCATCACGTACAAAAACACAGTGAAGATGTGAGGTGTTGGTAAGTACCCCTGTTAGTGAGAAATTCTGCTAATTATTACACCAAATAAGCATAGTTAACAGGCCATGACCACAAGAGGTGCATGTTTCAGGGCGTTAAGTAGCTGCCTAGGGTGGAGAGGAATATATTACACTATGCCCTGTACCAATAAAACAATTTCCCTGACACCTAGAAATCCAGTCAGCTGGAGCAAGATAACAAAAGTGTTCTATGGCGTGGCTGTGTGGAGAATGATACTTCAGTGCCACCTAGTGACTTGCACATTTCAACTTAGGAGTTCAGAGAAACTGACAATATCTTCCACCTATGCTTGGAAGCAGGAAAACAGGAGTAGAAGAAATCACATTTGGAGGGCTCCCCAAACTAAATGCTTGCTTTTTTTTAAAGCATACATATATTTTATTCTTTCCTTTTTCTCCCTACCTTGGCCTTTCTAAATAACCACCAAATAGGTATATCGCAATATGAACTCCTCAAAAAAAAAAATAAATAAATAAATCAAAGGCCCAAGTAATCAGCTGCTTCCCAGAAATACATTTTACTTTACCAATAATCATCTGACAGAAAGTTCCTTCAAAATTAAATCTTAAGAACATTCCAAGGGAGAAAAGGAGAGAGCAGACAGGTGGTAAATTAAGACTGAAAAGAACTAAAGGCTTTGAATCTGTAAGACAAATATGAAAAGTAGCAAACTTTGTATATTAGCATAATGCTAATGGTTTAAAAAGTAGGAACTCTGTACAAAGATTTATATGACAATAAAAGACCATGTAACCTGAGTAGTTCCATTCTACCCTTTGAATCAAAATTACTTTTCCCATGGAGACTGCTTCCAAGCTGATGATTTCTAATGTAGCATCTAATAGACACACTGAATATTCCTCCTGCAAATACAGTTAGTCCCAATTCAACACCAGTGCCAAGGAAATCCATGTCTTCCTCAAGCTAATGGTCTAGTGAAAAGAGGTGTGGTATGTATTACTGCAGATACAGTCACAAACAAAGCCTAGTTACTGCCTCATGGAGTTTACATTTTAATGTTGGAAGACAGATAAAAAACAAACAAGAAAACAGTGTATCACATGTTGATGATACAGAGAAAAATAAAACAGGATGAAAGAAACAGAGAACGCCAGCAGGCCATGAAGTAGGGAGTACTATTTTCGGGTAATCAGAGAAAGTCTCCTGAGAATAGGATGTTTAAATAGAGAGCTAAAGGAAGCAAGTGAACCAGCCACGCAGATACCTGGGGGAAGAAAGTTCTACAAAAAGAGAGAAGAGAAAATACAAAGGCCCATGGCAGGAAGCACTTGCCCTGTTAGAGGAACAAAATAGGGGCCAGTCTGAGTGGGTTAAAAAGAAAGAGAAGAAGAGTAGGGGAAGAGGTCAGAAACGATTCAGGGAAAAAGATCAGAAAGAAAGCCAAAGAAGTTGTTTTTGTTGTAATAGCAGCTTTATTGAGATATCGTTAACATACCACACAATTTTCCCCTTCAAAAAAGTATACAAGCCAGAAAGTATATTCATAGAGTTATGCAATCGTCACCACTACTTAATTTCAGAACATTTTCACTACCACAAAAGAAAAAGAAACCCTGCATCCATTAGCAGTCACTCCCCATTCCTCTCTCCCCAGCTCCTGGCAATCACTAATCTATTTCCAGTCTCTATGGATTTGTCTATTCTGTACATGGAATCATGTAATATGTGGCCTTTTGTCACTGGCTTCTTTTACGGAGCATATGGTTTCAAAGTTCAACCATTTTATAGCATGGTACCAGTACTTCATTCTTTTTATTGACAAATAATATTCCATTGTATGGTTATGCCACATTTTAATTGTACATTCATCATTGATGGGCGTTTGGGTTTTTTCCACTTTTGGCTATCATGAATAACGCTGCTGTGAACATTCATGTACAGGTTTTGTGTGGACATACATTGTCATTTCTCTTGGGTAACTAGGAGTGGAATTGCCGGGTTATATGGTAACTCTACGTATAACATTTTGAGGAAACATAAAAGAGTTTGAACAGAAAAGAGATTTGTTTTGTTGTGTTTTGAAGACTAAACTTTGATTGCTATGTAGGGAAAGGCAAGGAAAGAAGCAAGGAGACTAGATAGGAAGAAATTGCGATGATCCAGGAGAGTGATGCTAGTGGCTTGGAGAAGGATGGCAGAAGGAGACGTTGTAAGAAGTGGTTGGATTCTGAATATATTCTGAAGACAGATGCAACAGAATTTGCTGATGGGTGAAATGTGGAATGGGAAAGACGAAGTCAAGGATGTTTCCAGGGTTTTTGGTCTGAACAACTGGAAGGATGAAGATGTCCTGTACTGAGATGGAGATGACTATAGGAGTAACTATAAATATTAGTTCCCTCTCTATTTCCTTCCTTCTCTGGAGATTCCCCACATTCTACCTTCAGAGTTGCTTGAAATGTTTAATCATCAGAAGCAGTTGCTATATTTCTTAATTGCCAATCCCTTTCGCGAAAGTCTCTATCATAGCCCCAACCTATAGCGAAGTCCCTTTAGAGCCATCCTGGATAGTTTGCTTTTGTAATTAACAAATCAAATTCCAATTGGCAGGACAACAGCAAAGTGTGTAAGAGAGCAAAAAATAGAAGAACAAAAATCCATCACGATAAGTGGTTTTTCAAACAACGTCTCGCAAACACCCATTCAGAAGTGCCTTGAGTTAGGAGAATAGAAGAATTTAAGAAATCTATCATCCAAGAAGCCAAGAATGACTCAGAAGGCAGACCAAAGCCTCGCCTTCAAACATGATAACTGAAAAAATAGGGCACTTTTCTTCTCTGGCACTGGCATCCACCAGACCAAGCACCTGGGTTATTCAATGCAGTATCATTCATGTTCTTGGATATCACAGCAGTAAATATTTTATTAGAAAATAAAAGGAGAAAAGAAAAGGGAATCTAAAGGGGAAATTTTCTGAGCTTGAAATGCAAAATGTGTTTAGTTACCTTCAACATACACCTTTTCAAAGCAATTGAAATGTGTCTGCATACAATAGGAATGTTAAGACCTCTGTAGGCCATGATCCTGCTACTTTTGAAGGCCTCACTCAACATCAAAATAAACATATTAAATTGTATTCATATTTCACATTAAAAGGTTTCTCTGCAATGCAAAATAATTTGAGAAGATTTTTCGTTTGAATTTATTTGGCCTTGAGAAACTCATTTATGACTAATTATAATTTCTCAGCAATCACTGGATAGTACTTGGGAATTCTTGGAAATTCCAAATTCCAACTTACAAAATCTTTTCAAATATAGTAGAGAAGGCAGGGAAAGAAGCAAGGAGGTTCGTTAGGAAGAAATTACATTTTTTTCCATACAAACTGTAACAACTTTGGAAGCTGATATAAGGCTCCATTTTATAAGCATTTAGTTAAACATTTATTCATTTCAATTCTGCAATTTTATGTCTGGAGTTTGGAGTCAATACATTTTTTTCAAGTCTCATACATTTTTAGAGACCCCTGAAAAACTCTGTGGCTGAGATGAGTGGCAGCTGTTTTCCTCCTCTTCCTGCTGAGTTCTGGCCAATGGAATGTGAACAGAAGTGATGAGTGCCACTTCCAGGTCTGGCCCATAAAAAACCCCTAAACACATTTCTGCAGCTCTTTTCCCCTTCTTGCTGGCTGGAATAGAGATAACCTAAGGTGACCTTAGAAACCTTGTGTGGAAGATGGCAGAGCCTCCTTCAGCTTAGATCCCTAAATGAATACAGAGAGGAAAATGTCCTACCACCCTGTTTACCTACTCATTACTGTTACATAAACAAGAAATGCATTTTATTATGTTTAAGCCATTATAGACTATTTTGATATGATTTTTGCAGCAAAAATCATATCAAGTTAGGGTACGTTGCAGCAATAACCTACCCTAACTAATGTAAACCCACAGGGCTAGACACAATGCCTGTAGTGTCTCATAGATAAATGGCCCTGATTAATAATTTAGACTTTCATCTCTTTTATTTATGCAATTACTAAACCCTAATAAAAATGATATCTAACACTTGTATCGCAGTTGCTATATACTAAGTTCTGCTCTAAATATTTTACATGAATTAACTTATTTGATCTTCATAACAATGCTCAGTGGTGGTTACCATAATTATCCCCACTTGACAGATTATGAAACTGAGGTACAGAGAAATTAAGTACCCCGCCCAAAGTTAAACAATGAGTAAGTGACAGAGCTAGTACTCAAGCCCAAGTAATATGGTTCTGGCAGCCATGCTTTCAATCAGTATGCTATAAATGCGGAGAATCAAGGTGAAAACATGAACTCCAAGGTAGCTCCATTTTCATCTCCCCTCTCACCCAGAAGAAGGAAAGATAAATGGACATAATCGAATATGCAATACCACATCCCCATGTTTGTCATAGATACATTTATTGTTAACCTTAAAGAGAACTTCAGCTAACTCAAGACAGTTCTGATTTACTCTGAATCCTGACTTTCAAAAGGCGCCCACCACATATGTGGGTAGATGAGTCCAAAAGTCAATGTAATTATATACTCGCTTTCATGAAAATGCAAATGTCTCTGGAAGGCAGCTAATAAGTAAATCTGTACTTTTCCAAAGAAGCAAGGATTAACTTCATTGTGGGTTAAATTAGCTGAACATCAGAAAAGGACATCCAAAATAAACAGTCATGTACTGGTGGTAGCCAGGGGTGATGTGACCAAACGCACACTTGAGGAGGAATTCCAAGGGTGGTTGTGAACATTTTTCTGATTCAAAGTAAACAAAAAAACAAGGCAAGTTTTGACATGGACAAGACACTTGAGATCATAAAAAAGCAGCAGCCTCACCAAGCAGGCCACAAATCTAGATTAAATGCATATTTCAGATGACTCATAAACCACCCCCAAAATGACTCTGTGCTCATAAGCTAAACAGAGGCCATTTCTCCACTTACAAAGCTGCCTATCCATCCCACCAAGGTCCTGCTACACGGAGTTGCCCCTTTGTGCATCAAAAGGGAAATTTAAAAGAAGCATTAGATCCCCCGGCATCATCTTCTACTCGGGTAAGAAATATCTATTCCATCCCCTACCTCAAAAAAAGCCACAACCCCACCCCTTAGTTTTGTCTCCCTGGAGGCCGAATTGACCAGCAGTCATGTTTCCGAATCAAATGATATTTACACATTCTGTGCCAGGCACTGTACTAGGAATGTTAACATTTATTATCTCTTTTAACTGCAAAGGATTTAAAACCTGAGCTCTATCTGGCAGCTAACCAAAAAGACAGGCAGATGTGCAAATGGTCAAAATTCATATGGCTCCTTTTGAGTGTAACCATATGAAGGATCAAAGGATGTCAGGTACCTAGACCATTTTAGAAAAGACATAAAACAAGCTGTGCTATGGCAAATGTGGAAGGAAATCCCAAATGTTTGGAGACATCAATCAGTCACTAAGCATCTACTTAAATATCATACTTGTGCCCAGGCCTGTGCTAGGTAATGTAAAAGGAGTTTGCAGTTAACAACAGGCTAAAGCAGCTAACAGTAGTTAACATAAATTGAGCATCTACTATGTGTCAGGCATTATATTATGCACCTTAGCCTATATTAACTCACTGAATCCTCACATCAACCCCATGAACAATCCAGCCAGAATTAGACATGGGAGAAAAATATATTAATCTTATTACAATAGAAAGTCAAAATGTTTTATATGAAACAGTTATTTTTAGATGATTTCTGGGAACTCTTTCTATACTTCAGGCCGGTGAATAATATATTCCTTGATTGTTATTAAATTTGACTGAAGATATCTTCAGAATCTGATCTATAAATGATATAAAACCTGACCTGCAAGTTGAATGCATCATATCACAATAATCACAAGAAATTTACTCTCTTTGATATAACATTAAAATTGAAGAGTCCCATGGGCTTAATAATGACACCTTGAAAAGAGGTACCTTCCCCTGTTTAAAAAAAAAATTCATAAAGCCAGGCTCCAAAGTAAAAAAGTAAAAATAAAAAAGTCAGATTATAGTATTTTATTTATTTTTTATTTTTTTTATTATACTTTAAGTTTTAGGGTACATGTGCACAACGTGCAGGTTAGTTACATATGTATACATGTGCCATGCTGGTGTGCTGCACCCATTAACTCGTCATTTAACATTAGATTATAGTATTTTAATAGGAAATTTCACAGCAGAAAATTCATGAAATCTACTGCTACTAATAAGAAAATAATTCTAAACAGTGTCAAAATTAGTCTTCACATTTACTAAGAACAAAAACATTAGGTTCCCATCTTTAAGGTCAGATTAAGGTGATGGGTTGGATTGAGCCATCCATCAGGTTAAATAAATGCTTCTGGACAGTGCGTAGACTAAACAGGGCTAAGGATTCCTAAGAAAAACACCACTTATAACAGTGGAGGTCAGCACAGAGGCCTGGCCCAGTGGGGAGATGCCCTGTAGCTGCAGGTCTGGGAGACTACCCTACAAATTCTCATCAGACACTTAATCAATATCATGCCTTAGGACCTGAACTGCTACTATAAAATCAATATTACCTTTATTTTAAGTAGCAGGAGGAACAATGAGATTATCTTGTTCCTTACAAGTCTGCCATGGAAAATCTGGCTCATGGTGTGTGTCATCTCCTGCTTTTGCCTGGAAGGAACGCGTTTGTTGGGCTTAGAGACAGTCTGGCGATGCAACCCAGAGACCGGAAAAGGTGAAGGAAAAACACTCCAGTTCAGGGAAGCTGAGGCCTAAAACTTCATTACAACCTAAAGAACAACAATGATTCATGAAAAGAAGAGTTCTAAGGCTTTAACCCATCACCTATATAGTGGATGACTCCCCAGATTTCTATCTCTGGCCCTGACCTTCGGATTCCCTCTCCACAACAGCCTCTTTGATGGTCCCTTGGGTGCTGAACAGACACCAGTCATGTGACTGTCCAAAGGGATAGCACCTGATTCACCCCAGACCTGCTTCGTCCTCAGTTTTCTTATCTCAGTAAATGGTCACAATCTAGTTGCTCAGGCCAGGGCAGAGGCTCACACCTGTAATCCCAGCACTTTGGAGCACTGAAATGGGTAAATCACTTGAGCCCAGGAGTTGGAGACCAGCCTGGGCAATGCAGTGAGGCATCTTCACGGATAACGAAAAAATTAGCCAGGAGTAGTGATGTACGCCTGTAGTCACAGCTACTCAGGAGACTAAGGTGAGAGGATCGCTGAAGCCTGGGAGGTCAAGGCTGCAGTGAGCCACGATCGCGCCACTGCACTCCGGCCTGGGCAACAGAGTGAGACCCCATCTCCAAAAAGAAACAACAAGCAAACAAAACCAATCTAGTTACTCAAGCTAAAAGCCTGGAAATTTTCCTTGATTGTTCTTTTCTTTCAAACTTCTTATGCTGTCTAAAAGTAAATCCTGGCAGCTTTGCCTACAAAATGTATCTTAAATCCTTCCCCTTCAGTCTATCTGCACAGTCACCAACTGGGCCAAGCCATCAGAACATTCCTTTCCCAATATTTCTCCCTAATTCTACTCTGGCCTTCCAATATTCCTCACGCAGAGCCACAGTGATCTTTATAGAAATCAAATCAGAGTAAGTCACTCCACACACACGCTCCCTACCTTAAAACACTCCAGTGATTTCCAATGGGACTTGGAATAAAATCGAAATCTACCGCAGTCTAAAGTCCCTACCCTCATGATCTGGCCTCATTCCTTTGCCCTTTCGTTTCCTTCTCTTTAAGTTCTGGCCACTGACCACCTCTGTTCCTTCTACATGCTAAGCTCTTTAGCACCTCAGAGCTTTGTCTCTGAGGCTGAAATGTATGCCCTTGTCATCCTTTGGAGTTCACATCAAAGGTGACCTCAGACCACTGTATCTAAAGCAGTCCCCTCCCCTCAGTCATTAACACAACATACTGTTTATCACTATTAGACATGGCCTTATTTACGACCTTAAATATGTTTACTTTCTTTTTTTTTTTTTTTGAGACGGAGTTTCGCTCTTGTTGCCCAGGCTGGAGTGCAATGGCGTGATCTCTCGGCTCACTGCAACCTCTGCCTCCCAGGATCAAGCGATTCTCCTGCTTCAGCCTCCCGAGTAGCTGGGATTACAGGCACCTGCCACCACCCCCAGCTAATTTTTGTATTTTTAGTAGACCGGGTTTCACCATATTGCCCAGGCTGGTCTCGAACTCCTGACCTCAGGTGATCCACCTGCCTTGGCCTTCCAAAGTGCTAGGATTACAGGCATGAGCCACCATGCCCAGCCACTGTTTACTTATTTACTAGCATTCTTCCTCTAATAGAATATTAATCTCCATGAGAAGAGGGACTCTCGTCTGTTACTACTGAATCCCCAGAGTACAGTACAGCCCTGAGCATATATAAGCCTCAGTTAAAATCTGCAAAATGAACATGCGGGAAGCAACTGGAAATCTCATATTGGTACCCATCATGCTAAAAGTAATAGCAATGTATTCTCCATCGAAGTATTACGATCAGAGGTAGAATTTAACAACAGACAGGTTGGGCATGGTGGCTCATGCCTGTAATCCCAGCACTTTGGGAGGCCGAAGCGGGCAGATCATTTGAGGTCAGGAAATCGAGACCAGCCTGGCCAACATGGTGAAACCCTGTCTCTACTAAAAATACAAAAATTAGCCAGGCATGGTGACATGCGCCTGTAATCCCAGCTATTCGGGAGGCTGAGGCACAAGAATTGCTTGAACCCTGGAGGCAGAGGTTGCAGTGAACCAAGATCATGCCACTGTACTCCAGCCTGGGCTACAGTGAAACTGTGTCTCAAAAAAAAATTTAAAAAAAAAGAACAGACCAATTTTTATTTGCCCTATATTGGATCAAACATTTCTAACATTTTGCATTTTTTAAAAGAGAGATGTTCAAGTAGACAAGAAGAATAAATTCTCAAGTTCGCACATGCTCTCAACTCCAATTTTGAGAAGCAGATAATGACAGTGGAAGTTCAGATGATGTGTCCCAACACCAATATCACATTTGCCTCTACAAGTCAGTTAATTCAGCCCCTCTTTTCTTTTTTTTTTTTTTTTGTATTTTTAGTAGAGATGGGGTTTCACCATGTTAGCCAGGATGGTTTTGATCTCCTGACCTAGTGATCCGCCCGCCTCGGCCTCCCAAAGTGCTGGGATTACAGGCATGAGCCACCGCGCCCAGCCACACCCTCTTTTCTTTATCTGTCCATCTGTCCAGCCACACTCTCCCATCACTACACACTCACTTCTCACCTTCTCACATGGTTATCCACAGGCCTCGAATACCCTTCTTCTAGTTCACTGACTCATTCCTTCCATCAATCAAGAGTTTCTACAAGTCTCACCTCCTAGATAAAGCCTTTTTGGTTTAGCTGAAAAGGAAGGAGAAAGGAGCTAATATTCATTGAGTGCCTCCCACACTCTGGGTGCCGTGCTGAATGCTTACAAGCTTTAACAAATCTGCGAAGTAAATCATCATGAGCCCCATTTTGAGAGAAAAAATTGAGTCTTAGGTTCAGGACTTGCTGGAAGTGAAAGAACTAAGTGGCAAAGACAGGATTTAAATCCACATCACATCACTCACTCAAAAATCCCGATTCTTTCCAGGGCATCGCTTTGGTAACAAAAATAATAAACATACAAATAAAATCTTGCCCCTGCTGTTTCAACTGGGTACACCCTTTCACAAATAGATCTATGTCACATTTCACTAATACTGGGTCCTTAGACTAAAAATTTCTTTGTATGCAATGGGTTCCTACATTACAAATAATAAAGCCTTTATAAAATTCCCTCATTTGCAATCTACAGACAAAACATTACAGTTGCAAAGGAGAGTCTCACTACAGTTTCCCTTCCAACATTACTACCTTGACTTTATAAGTGACAGAAACTTGCCAATTTAGGTCACTATAATCATAGGGTCAATGTAATCATGCGTTAGTTTAGCATAATACATAGCAAACATCCAGGGTACTCAAAGGAGACTAAAGCCTCTAAAACCAGATGATCCCCTTGAAAGGCCAATGTCTATGGTCAATCTGAGCCTCCTTATTAATACATAATTTGATTCTTTCTTCCACAACTAGAAAGCAAAAAACAGACATACTACATTAAAATATCTCCCAAACACAATCTGCGGGTTTTTAAAATAAACCACGAGTAAAATTAAATTCAATAAAGCACATCATTGTCAACCTTTATTTATCATCAACAATAATTACTTTTAATAATGTTAGATGACACCATGAAATCTTAAAAGGTTCATCCTTATTTAAAAAAATGGATATATAAAATACTGGGCACAGGGGCAAAACAAATTGGTTGGCACATTTGTTTTAGCCCCTTTCTATGCTGTAAGATATTAGACACTCTCTATCTATATTAGCCGGGATAAACATCTTCCAAACCTTTCCTAAATAATTAGACACTTCTTCCTTTATGTTAATTTTCTCTGTGGATCATTATTAAAGAAATCACAAGTCACTTTAAAATAGCATCCCATGAAAAAATAAATAAATTGCATCTTCTGTTTAAAAGTAAGATCGTATCAGGCTATATTCAGTTCTTTACTCTTCAAATCTCTATTTATTACAGATAATAAAATGACAGCTTTTGAGGCATGGTAAATCATGAGATATTGATTAAATTAAAACTTTAAACTTGTAGTGGCAAGAAATCACTTCAGATATCTTCAGTTTCTGTTAAGGACTGATTAAAACTTGACTCTTAGTAAGGTTCCTGTCTACAAAAGGAGCCTTGCTTTTGTGATAAGATAATGCAAACAACAAAATATCACCAAATCAATATTCATCATTTCTTTATTTTCCTTTTCCTTTCTTCCTTTCTTTCTCTCATTCTCTTTCTGTTTTGCTTTTAAGATCATAGAGTGGTGAGTTGTATGGCATCAGGTTCAACCCAAAAGGATAAAAACCCACACTCTCCTCCCCACCCTCGCATGCTCTATGGGTGTAAATATTTCATGGTATTACCATCATTCACTCGGTGCTTATATTGTCTGATCAAGCCTCTATTTCTGTCTGTTAGATACTCTGGAGGATAACGTTTTTTCATGTCTGCTGCTCAGTCACATAAAGCCCTTGCTTCTCAAAGGTTCTTCAAAGTTCAATAATTTATTAAACACTGTGCTGGGGTCAGTAAGCACTCACAGAAATGCATAACTACAGAATATGTGGGACTATTAAAGGGTTTCTTTAATAAAAAGGATGACTTTAGAGAAAATGACAGTATTGTTATTTATACAAGAGAGGCATACTCTGAACAATTGTAGCTATCCTGTGCTGAAAGGCAAGAGCTGAAAATAAACAGGAGTGCCTGTTTACCGGTAAAACATTAAGCAAATCCACTGTGAAACAGGCTATCTACAGAAAACTGATTCAGAACTCAAGTTCCAGATTTCCCAACCTCAGTATAATGACTAGTCAGGTTTCCATTCCTTCTCTTTCTAAATATAATAGAACATTTGCAATTTCAGTAAAATACCCTTGAAGCTATAAACCAATGACATTTTTAACTTATCAGTATTACCCCCAAAGTCTACTTGTTACATTTATTCCTTCCCACTAATCTCTGAGCAACAGGCTGAGAAGGCATTAAAAGAATCACATATAACACATATAAAAATAAAGTAATACAAATTTGAGTAGTATACTTTGATCAGCAAAGTATTTATTCAATTCATATCCATAAGGAGCCGTAAGGTAATCAATGAGCAGACTAAGATATCTCCCTAGGTTCACAGAGACTCCATAATCTAGTTGGGTGAAAAGCACACATCCAGTGCTTAGATTAAGACCCAAAACAGTAGAGAATTCTTTGCTAAACTGAGCAGGAGTCTCCCAGGGCCACAGTATTTCAGAGAAAGTAGAAACAAACCAATTTCCGTGAGGATAGTCAAAGGAGACTTTAAGAAGGAGGAAATTATTTTCTCCATATTAAATTTTGTTTTCTTACGTTGATTTTCAAATAAACCTCAGGAAAAGAAACTCTGACATACAAATTAATGATTAACACAACAAATTAACTTCCATTCTAACATGGTGGATTCAAAACATGCACTTGGCTCCTTCCCAAAACCTCACTGGAACGCCTGTAAAGAAATTAAAACAATATACTGGGTGCAGTGGTTCACACCTGCAATCCCAGCACTTTGGGAGGCCAAGGTGGGAGAATCTCTTGAGCCCAGGAGTTGGAAACAAGCCTGGGAAACATAATAAGGTGCCATCTCTACAAAACTGAAAAAAAAAAAATGAGCTGGGTGTGGTGGTGTGCGCCTGATGTCCCAGTTACTTGGGAAGCTGAGGCAGGAGGATCCCTTCAGCCCAGGAGTTTTATGCTGCAGTGAGCTATGATTGTGCCACTGCACACCAGACTGGGCAACAGAGCAAGACCCTGTCTCCAGAAAAAAAGAAAAGAAAGAAAAGGAAGAAAAGGAACCGAGGAAGGAAGAAAGGAAGGGAGGGAGGGAGGAAGGGAGAAGGAAAGGGAAAGGGAAAGAAAGGAAAGAAAAGAAAAGAAAAAAGAAAAGGAGACAACAATAACAACAATAAAAATAAATCGTCAAAGTCAATGTGAAAGATAAGAGCAGATGAGGCGCAGTGGCTCACGCCTGTAATCCCAGCACTTTGGGAGGCCAAGGCAGGTGGATCACTTGAGGTCAGGAGTTTCAGACCAGCCTGGCCAACATGGTGAAACCCTGTCTCTACTAAAAATACAAAAACTAGCTGGGCATAGCGGTGCATACCTGTAATCCTAGCTATTTGGGAGGCTGAGGCAGGAGAATCGCTTGAACCTGGGAGGCGGAGGTTGCAGTGAGCTGAGATCATGCCACTACACTCCAGTCTGGGCAACAGAGCCAGACTCAGTCTCAGGAAAAAAAAAAAAAAAAAAAAGAAAGCAAGCAGATGAGAGATGTTAAAAGATGAAAAAGGAATGGCAAGTAATGTAACAGCAAAACCTGAATCCTAAAGCCAGGTGTGGTGGCTCACGCCTGTAATCCCAGTACTTTGGGAGGCCAGTGCGGGCAGACGGCTTGAGTCCAGGAGTTTGAGACCAACCTGGGCAACATGGCAAAACCCCATCCCTACAAAAAATACAAAAATCAGCTGGGCATGGTGGTACATACCTGTAGTCCCAGCTATTTGGGAGGCTGAGGCAGGAGGATTTTGAACCTCAGAGGTCAAGGCTGCAGTGACCCAAGATCGCACCACTGCACCAGCCTGGGTGACAAAGTGAGACCCTGTCTCCAAAAAACACACACACACACACACACACACACACACACACACACACACACACACACACACACCAAAGCTGAAGACTAACTGGTAGACAGGATTGAGGGAGAAAAGGGGAAGACCAATAAGAAGTGAGCTCCCATGCCACCATCTACAGAAAGGCTCAGGAATACAATAACCAGGAACTTCTGAAGGAAGGTGCATTTCAACCATGAAGCTGAAAACAGGAAGACTAGTTGGAAGTCAAGAGCAGAGGTTAGACCCTAGATTCTTTCTCTCAATCCCAACAGCCAGGCAACCACCACATCCCTGACCAAGCAAAAGATGAGTTTAACTATCTGAAGCATTGGCCCAAGGAAACCCTGGATCCTAGACCAGCTCAGGATGCAAATGAGAGCTCTTAGAATCTTCTCTTTTCCTCTGGGGTTAGGAAATTTCATGATAAAATGCCATAGTGGGATCATTTTTCATCTGTTGTGCTGGGCGGTCACTGGGCTCTTTTGATCTGGAAACTCATGTCTTTTAGGTCAAGGAAATGACCCTGTATTATTTCTTTTTTCTTTTTTTTTTTTTTTTTTTTTTTGAGAAGGAGTCTTTTTCGGTCACCCAGGCTGGAGTGCAGTGGCACGATCTCGGCTCACTGCAGCCTCCACCTCCTGGGTTCAAGTGATTCTCCTGCCTCAGCCTCCCAAGCAGCTGGGATTACAGGTGCCCACCACCATGCCCAGCTAATTTTTGTACTTTTAATAGAGATGGGGTTTTGCCATGTTGGCCAGGCTGGTCTCGAACTCTTGACCTCAGCTGATCCTCCTGCCTGGGCCTCCCAAAGTGCTGGGATTACAGGCATGAGCCACTGTGCCCAGCCTGTATTATTTCTTTGATAATCTCTTTCCTTCTGATATTTTGGTTCTCATTCTGTAACTCCCAGAGTTAAATACTGGACCACCTGGACTGATCCTCTAATTTCATATTTTTCCTTTCTTATTTTCCATTGCTTTGTTTTGGGCTAATTTCTGGACAAATGTCTTCAACTGTATTTTCTAATACTTCTGTTGAAAATTTAATTTCTGCTATCATATTTTCAATTTGCAAGCTCTTTCTTGCTTTCTAAATGATCCTTTCTTTAAGGTTGTATAATGGAAAATTTCAAACACACAAAAGTACAAATAATAATATAATGAACCCCTATGCGCCCATTACGCAGCATGCTTCAACAATTACCAACATTTTGCCAATCTCATTTTATCTATCTCCCACACGACTCTATCCTTTTTTCTGAATTATTTCAAATCACATCCCAGACATCACAATATTCAAATTGTAATTATTTAGCATAAATCTCTAATAACTAAGGACAACTTTTTTTTAAATGTATAAGATTTTTAAAAATGTATAACAATACATTATCACAACTAACAAAATTAACAGTGTGAAGGTTCCTTTTTATTAGCATCTTGTTCCTGTTTCGTGTATTTTCTCTCATCTCTCTGGGAATATTAATTATAATTTGTTTTGAAATTGTTTTCTGCTCTCCACATTTTCCTGTTCCTCTGGGTTCCTTTTCTTCTGTTTCTGTGCTCTGTATTTTGTCATTCCTATTTGAGGCATTCCTGGATGTTCAATGATCTTTGCCCATCAGTTCATAATTTCCAGTGAGGGAATATGAAACAGATCAGAAGCTGAATGTGCAGAAGCTTAGTTTGTCAACTGGTGGGCCTCACTACAGAGCGATATGATGGAAACCTGGCCGTCTTTTAAGATATCTCCAAATGTCAACCTATATATTTTTTATTGGGCTGGTCAGCTTCCCTGAAGAGGAATCCTCATGTATCCTTCCCTGGTTACAATGGTTACATAACCTCCCCAAACAACAGAGGTCACAAAAGGCAGGCCCTCTATTCCTTCCAGCCTGTAGATATGGTCTATTTGGACTACACAGGTTTTAAATTTCAATTAGTCGATGGCTTATTAAAATAAAGAGATTTCAAATAAAAATCTAGATGTCCTGCTTCTTTTGAAAAGTCAGAATATTTGCAACACTGGGCTGACATTCACACACTGAACCAGAGTCCCTTTAGGCAGCATATGTACTTCTTACTTCACCACTAGCACCACCAGTCCCTGCTGTCTCCTCTAGACTGAGAGTTTCAGCTTTCATTAATCATCTTACACCTATCTGGCAGGTGGGCAAAGCTTAAGACTAATGTTGTATAATGAGATGTGACTGTACAAAAGGAAAACGTCCTTGATTATGCCTTTGATTAATTTTATTTTTTGTTATCCTAAAGAAAGGCTGAATACTCCAACGGAACAGTCAGCTAAAGCAAAATACACCCAGCACTCTGCAACAACAGACTGGTAAAACCCTGTATGTTTCACACCCCAGAAAACAGATAGCACTCAACATCTAAGCACCCTTACCACAACTGTTTGAGCTCTTCTCAAAGAGTCATATGCCAGTTTTCAGCTGCATAAGATGGACAGAGAGAGAAAGAAAGAAAAAGAGATTGAAATTTATCCTTTGAATTCCCATAGGGACAGAAAATTACCAAAAATACCTTTCCTCCACCAAATCAGGTAAATCATAACGCTTTAGAGGTGTAAAGATGGACATAGTTCTGAAATCATAGACTTATAAAAGCCCCAGTGGCTCTTTTCTTAGATAATATACTTGGGCATTTTATATATGCACATATTATATATATAAATATAGGTATTATGTATTCATATATACACACATATTATATATAAATATAGGTATTATGTATTCATATATACACACATATTATATACAGTATGTATTCATATATGAATATATTCAGATATTTATGTGGATGACATGGCCAAGCTTAGCAAACACAGCAAGGAAATCCCTACCAGTTTCTAAAGACAGTTTAGACATGTTCAAATGATTGTTAAAACACAAAATGATCAGCCATAAATATGTTCAGTGATGTTCAAGAGATCTCTTGTACAACATGGTGACTACAGTTAATAACAATGTATTATATACTTGAAAATTGCTAAGAAAGTAGATTTTAAGTGTTCTCACCACAAAAAAGTATGTGAGATAATGCATATGTTAATTAGGTTGATCTAGCCATTCTACAATGTATACATGTCAAAATATCATAGTATATACCATAAATACATAAAATTTTTGTCGTATTTTTAAAAATATTTTTTTAAAAAGGTCCAGTGGCAACATTTTTTAAACTGGTTGAAAACACAGACTTCACTCAGTTTCAGATTTAAAAGTCATCACCGTGACTCCTGGCTATACACCTATTAGCTAAAAACAACAACGCTACAAAACTTGCTTTCAGATTAACAGGCCTGTCATTTATCCTTTAAATGTTTATCTCCTTTGGTCACAATTTTATTGTAGTTAAACAGCAACTAGTGTGTGACCAAAAGCATTCAAATGCTCTGAGTACACAAAGAGTGCACTGTTCTTTTTCCAGCTGAATGGACTTCTACTCATGTGAACAAAAGACAAGATCCTGCTATTCTTCAAATTAAAAGGCAAGAAACAGCAAGGAAAAACACTGCACAGAAAACCTCTCTCTTAGTTTACTATATAAATGCTAATGAGAACAGTGAACCAAACAGCTGCTTTTCTCTTTCAAAAGTTTTGAAAATCATGAAAAATAATTACGCATCTCTGCAACTCTTTTAAAAGGGTTGTGTTAAGAATCTTTTGTAACCCACTATAGCTATTGTAGTACATGTTATCTAATACACATAATGTTAGAGAAAAGATGACAACATGCAAACTTTATGGCCGGAAACCAAAGAGTCAGGCAAAATATAAACACTCTGATGCAAGGGGCCCAAAAGCACTGAATAGAGACTTGACATTTGAAATCTGAAATTTTAAAAAGCTTCCTATGGCCTTAACAAAGCAGGTGAAATCGAATCCCTAGGGCCTCTAATAATCTAAGAAAAGAAGCTGTTGCTGCCACCAACACTGGAAGGGAGTGAGAGCTCCCTGACCTATTACAGAAGGCCATGAAGACCAGTCCTCGTTATCATTTTCCTAAATGTGTTATTTTCCTTTCTAGCCTTCTTGTTAATCTCCCTCTCATATATCTCTCTTACTGAGATCTCTCTCATGTCTTTAGTTTTTAAATAAATTACTGCATGATCTTTTTGTAGGTTGTTTTAATTTAGAGGAGTTGAAAGAAGGGGAAAGGAACCTGTTTAAGTTTTGATATTAATACTTAGGAAGGGAAAAGGCAATCCAAGGGTTTGGCGTTTTCATCTTCTGCAAGTGTAGAAACAGTGTATTATCTAAGTTTAGATTTGCCTACAAGTGACAAAAAATCCAAAATAACAGTGGCTTAACCAGGCTGGGACAGTGGTTCTCCTGAAGTTCTCAGAGGCCCGGCCCCTTTTAGCCCATAAGGCTTGGGCTTCACCTTCAAGATCCAAGTCCAGCATGTACATTCCAGGCAGCGGGACAGAAGCAAGGGCCTAAGAAGCAAAGGGCAAAGGGCATACACCAGCTTTCTCTTAAAGAAACACCTCAGAGACTCCCATAGTACACCTTCTCTCAGTCACATGGCCACACCCCGTTGCAGGGGAGGCTGGGGAAATGCAATCTGCATTTTGGGCAGCAGTCCAGCCTGAAAAGTCCATGACTCAAAGAAGCAAGAAGGGATCTGTGCAGTCTCTACCACAAGGAGACTTCCAAGTTTTACGAAACTAGAAATGATTGATGATTTCATTCAAACAAATGGTCTTCAAAATAAGAAACTTCCAAGTGCTCCAAACTGAAGAGCCACCGAAATATATGGACTTGACAACAGAGTGTTTGAAGTACTCCCTGTAATCCCTCAAGTACACCTCAATGGACGGGATCAGACAGCTGAATATCCTCATGTTCTTTCTCCCTCAGGAGGGAGAGTCCTAGGCCTCTGACTCCCACAGACCTGGAGCATCTCCTCTGGGTCATGTCAACCGTCCAAGCTCTCCAGCCCTGCAGCCCAATCGCCTCCCATCATTAAGAAAGAGAGGCCTTTCACATCCAAGGGGCAAATCTCACATAAATGACATTTGGCTGGTGCCCAAAGGTGACAGGGATGAGAGCGGGATAAATAAAGAATAATGTGGAAGCCAGTTGGGGCAGCCTTTCATTACAGCCCTTTCAAGAGCTATTAATCTTGGTCATAGTCAGTCAGCTAAACATAATTACTTCTTCTAACACATGTTTTACACACAACTAGCAATGGTAACAGGTCAGCCCTTTTCCCTAGGAAACATGTGGCTTCTGGCTTGCCTATAGCGATGAGAAATGGTGTTTGTACAGTTGTCCTAGCACTGTCTGTCTTCTCTAATACCGTTATCAAAAGGAAGAATCACTATCAGCATATTGTCATACGATCTGTTAAGTTGCTACAGAAGTACCTGGAAGAACATGTAAAGACTATCAGAAATAATCTAAAAAAAGATTTGTTACTTCTTGGATAATCATGAAAGTAAATAAAATTTTAAATACCTCAGCGTCATCTCTTTCCAAAGTACTTCGTTGTTGAGGTATTTTCATGGAGTGTTGTTTGGTGCATTGTGTATCATGCCTTTCCTAACTCACCATTAATTTTCCCTTAAATTCAAGGTATCATGGAGCTTTTTTTTTTGAGACGAAGTCTCGCTCTGTCATCCAGGCTGGAGTGCAGTGGTGCGATCTCAGCTCACTGCAACTGCCACCTTCCGGGTTCAAGTGATTCTCCTGACTCAGCCTCCCGAATAGCTGGGATTATAGGCATCCGCCACCGTGCCCGGCCAATTTTTGCATTTTTAGTAGAGATGGGGTTTCGCCAGGTTGGCCAGACTGATCTTGAACTCCTAAGCTCAAGTAATCCACCCACCTTAGCCTCCCAAAGTGCTGGGATTACAGGCGTGAGCCACCGCGCCCAGCCTGGAGCTTTTACTTCAGTTCAGTTTATGGAAAAAGTTCTGGACCTGGAATTCTAAATTCCAAATTCAGCTCTGTAATTAAGTAGCTTTGTAATCTTGAAGAAGCCAATAAACTCTCTGGGCCTCAGTGTGCTTCAGCTGTGCTATAGGACGGCCTGACTCAAAAATGCCATACCATTCATGACAGCTTTAACAGTACAAATGGATGGGTTTACATCATTTAATAAGAAGCCATCTAAATTTACAAAATTTGTAAATAGGGCCTAGCTAAAAGAGGGATCATAAAAGGGCTAACTGTGGGGCTTCTATAAGTCATGAACACCTCCAAACCCCGTTCTCTAACGATACAGGCAAGATATAAAAATTAAATGGAGACGTCAATTGTATAAAGCAAAGTGCCATCTAATGCAAATGAAAAAGTGCAGTGGGAGCTGCCTCTGGCTGTGGGTCAGAAGGTAGAAAACGCAGCACCCCTGAGCAGCCAGTTCTCCTGCAGCTAGAAAGAAAGCGTGGAAATCCTAGCTTCATGTGATAGGACAAAGCTTCAGATGTGGGGAGAAGGGAAGCAGCTTCTACAATCCCACACTTCCCAGCTGAGGAAATGGTGCAAGAGGGCCCAATGAGCTCTTTGTCAGAGATAGCTAAATGATGGTAGTAGATGCTATGTTAAATACTGCAAACACCAACAGCTCATGTCTCAAGGTGGCAGTCTTACTGAGTGAATGTGGGGGCAGGCTAGAGGATTTGCAATAATTAGGAAGGACACGAGCCACAAGTGGCACCAAATAATAAAAAGCAGGAGTTATAAATTATGGGTCCTCCTAGGGCCAGGAAAACTTCCAGCAAATATTTTGTAAGTTACATGAAGTTAGTGTTATAAGACAAGCAATGCAGATGCAAAACTTGGAAGAATTTCTTCCAATTATGCCAACAACAGCAAAAAAAAAAAAAGTGTAAGTTCCTAGAGGAGCAGCTATAAATCCTATAACATTTTCATATTTTAATCATGTTTATTGGGCTGGATCAAATAAATGCCCACACTGAAAACCCATCCCTGGTTTTTCTGGTTTTGCATTTTGTTTTGTTTTGTTTTTTTTTTTTTTTTGAGACAGGGTCTCTCTCTGTTGCCCATGCTGGAATGCAGTGATGCGATCACGGCTCACTGCAACCTCAACTCCCTAGGCTCAGGTGATCCTCCCACCTCAGCCTCCTGAGTAGCTGGGACTACATGTGCACGCCATCATGCACAGCAAATATTTTGTAGAGACAAGGTTTCACCATGTTGCCCAGGCTGGTCTCAAACTCCTGGGCTCAAGTGATCCACTTGCCTCAGCCTCCCAAAGTGCTGGAACTACAGGCATGAGCCACCTATTCCTATCCCTAACCCTGTTTTTTTTTAAAGCCCTCAACGAAGGATTCTTTAAAAAAAAAAAAAAAGGCAGTCATATCTGACTATGTAAATTGTACACCCTTTATACCTTAGGGGGAATGGGTTTACTTTTTATTATAACTATAAAGTTCATTTATCATTTCAGAGGAGACATTAAAATAATTGTGGGCAGTGTGATATTGACCCTTGCAAGCCACATTCTTGCCCTGCAGATACACTGCTGCCACACAGCTGGGTTAGAAGACAGTGTTAAAATTACAGTGGAACCACATAATTGCTGCATCATTAGTGGTTGGAGGGTGAATTGAAGGGATGAGTCTTAAGACAAATTATTCCATATGGATTGAAAAGAAGTATGCAAAAAGATATGCAAGATTGATTGCTGAGATATAGTCTAGGAGTCAACTTTTTTAATTTTAAAGATAATATTTGAACACTACCCTTTTGAATTAAGATTTCCTCAAAATGAAATTGATTTATATTCAAATCCCCTTTGACCCTACTTACGTGACTGGATGGCTATACCATATTTGGTTTATCCATTCATCAGCTGGTGGACATTTGCATTGGTTCCACTTTTTAATTATGAATAATGCTTCCATGAAAAGAAAGTATAATTTTTTTTTAAAGTGCAACCCTGCAATAGGCTGTCCCTCTCCTATTACTAGATCAGCCCAATCTTTGCCTCCCAAAGAGGTAGCCACTGTTGAATCTTTACAACATATTCTGTCTATATGCAAGCATTTTACACAAATAGTAACAGTATTCTACACCTTGTTCTTTTAATTGTCTTGAAGACAGTTTCATCTTCACTAGCTTCATCTCCCTTAATGTATTTAAACTGTTCCCTACTGATGGATACTTAGATTGCTCGTGTTCTGCCACTACAAATAATGCCACAATGAATATTCTTATACATATGTCTTTGTGCCCATGTGCCAGTACAAAAAATGGAGCAAATTCATGTAAGTAGAACATAGCTGGGTCAAAGAGGATTTGACTATAAGTCAATTTTGTTTTTAGAAGATCTTACTTCAAGAAGGTAAAATGTAAGCGATTCAAATCCTGACTGCAGCTTGAATCAGAGAGAAAAATAACCAGCAACATCACTAGGAAATAGGCAATCCACTGCATCATTATTTTTGTTAGTATCTTTGAGATGTAATTCACGTAACATAAAATTCACCAACTTATAGTATATGATTCAATGGTTTTTAGTATATCCACAGAGTTGTTCAACAATCACCATATTCTAAGTTTAGAACTTTGTTATCACTCCAAAAAGAAACCCCTGCACCGATCAGCCCTCACTCCTGATTCTCACCCCACCCCTGGGCAATCACTCACCTACTTCCCATCTTCATAGATTTGCCTGTTATAGACATTTTATATAAATGGAACCATATAATATTAGTCTTCCATATCTGGCTTTCACTTAGAATAATGTTTTCAACATTAGTCCATGGTGTAGCATGTGCCAATACTTCATTCTTTTTAAATTTTTTTTTTTGAGATGGAGTCTCGCTCTGTAGCCCAGGCTGGAGTGCAGTGGCATGATCTCAGCTCACTGCAAGCTTCGCCTCCCGGGTTCATGCCATTCTCCTGCCTCAGCCTCCCAAATAGCTGGGACTACAGGCACCGGCCACCACGCCCGGCTAATTTTTTGTATTTTTAGTAGAGACGGGGTTTCACCGTGTTAGCCAGGATGGTAAATTTTTTTTTAATAGAGAGAGGGTCTCACTATGTTGCCTGGGCTGGTCTCGAACTCCTGAGCTCAAGTGATCTCTCGCCTTGGCCTCCCAAAGTGCTGGGATTACAGGTGTGAGCCACCACTCCTGACCAGTGTTAGTGTATTTTATGTGTGGCCCAGGACAATTCTTCCATTGTGGCCCAGGGAAGCCAAAAGATTGGACACATCTGTTTTAAAACCTTCCTTTTATTTGAAGATGAATATGAAAATTAAATAAACGTCCATACTTAGGTTTAAACAAACCAGGAATGTCACCACCCACAAGCACAGAGGAAGAACAGTTCTATTTCTTTAGACCTACAACCTTCGTAATTTGTTTTTGGTTTTCATCCTCTAAACTGTCTTCCATATTGCCCATGTTCTGTGTGCAATTCAATCAAGTAAAATTGCTGTGATCTTCTACTGTGTTGCCATGTACCATGCTAGACTGAAAGACACAGAGATTAATAAAAGCAATGAGTTCCCAATTCTCCAGGAACTCACATTTTGGTTAAGTGTGATCCTTTTTGATAATAGTTTGTAGAGATGGTAAGCAAACTTACCAAGGTCAGCAAACTTCTTCTGTAAAGGACTAACTAGTAACATTTCAGGCTTTGCAGGCCACATATGGCCCCTATTAAATATTCTTCTTCTTCTTTGTTTTTCTTTATAATCTTTTAAAAATTTAAAAGCCATTATTGGCCGAGCACAGTGGCTCATGCCTGTAATCCCAGCACTTTGGGAGGCCAAGGAGGGCAGATGACCTGAGGTCAGGAGTTTGAGAACAGCCTGACCAACATGGCAAAACCCCATCTCTACTAAAAATACAAAAAATTCGCCAGGTGTGGTGGCGTGCACCTGTAATCCCAGTTACTCAGGAGGCTGAGGCAGGAGAATTGCTTGAACCTGGGAGGCAGAGGTTGCAGTGAGCCAAGATCGCACCACTGCACTCCAGCCTGGGAAACAGAGTGAGACTCTGCCTCAAAAAAAAAAGAAAAGAAAAGAAAAAGAAAAAGAAAAAAGCCATTCTTAGCTCAAGGGCCAGACTTTGATATAAGTTATAAGCAAAGAGAAAAATTACAGGTTCATAATCTTACCAATTAAACATGCCAAATGCAATTTAAAATTCATTAATATCAGTTATGATAGCCTCAATTCAACTCTGTCTCTTCTTACTACTTATTCTTTTACTTCCATGACTCTGTTTTCACCAATGTTATTTCTTGCACAGATTCTTTGATAACTGATGAAACAAACTCTCTTTCTGCCCCTAAATTAGATCTGCCATTTGATTCCCAATTGAAATTACATTCTACATGAAGGACAAAAACCAGATGGTCATCTCATTAGATGCAGAAAAAGCATTTGAGAGAATTCAATATCCTCTCATGATAAAAACACTCAATACCTTAGGTATAAAAGGAATGTGCCTCAACACAATAAAGGCCATACATAAGCCCACAGCTACCATTATACTCAATGGTAAAGAATTAAAATCTTGGCCGGGCGCAGTGGCTCACGCTTGTGATCCCAGCACTTTGGGAGGCCGAGGCGGGCGGATCACGAGGTCAGGAGATCGAGACCATCCTGGCTAACACGGTGAAACCCCGTCTCTACTAAAAATACAAAAAAATTGGCCGGGCGTGATGGCGGGCGCCTGTAGTCCCAGCTACTCGGGAGGCTGAGGCAGGAGAATGGCATGAACCCGGGAGGCGGAGCTTGCAGTGACCCGAGATTGCGCCACTGCACTCCCGCGTGGGCCACAGAGCGAAGACTTCGTCTCAAAAAAAAAAAAAAGAAAAAAAGAATTAAAATCTTTTCCTCCAAGATTCAGAATAAGACAAAGATACCCACTCTTGCCACTTCTATTCAGTACAGAAGTGGAATATAGTATTAGAGTATTGCCAGAGCAATCAGGCAAGAAAAAGAGAAAAAAAGCATCCAAATAGGAAAGGAAGAAGTAAAACTATTGCTGTTTGCTGATGATATGCTCTTACACTACATATTAAAAACCCTACAAATTCCACCAAAATACTGTTAGAACTAATAAATGAATACAATTAAGCTGCAGGATACAAAATCAACACACAAAAATCAGTAGTCTTTCTATATGCTAACAGTGAACTATATAAAAAAGAAATCAAGAAAACAATCCCATTTAAAATAGCTACAAGGCTGGGCACGGTGGCTCATGCCTGTAATCCCAGCACTTTGGGAAGCCGAGGCGGGTGGATCACCTGAGGTCAGGAGTTTGAGACCAGCCTGGCCCACATGGTGAAACCTCGTCTCTACTAAAAATACAAAAAAGTTGGCCGGGCACGGTGGCATGTACCTGTAGTCCCAGCTACTGGGGAGGCTGAGGCTGGAGAATTGCTGGAACTCAGGAGACGGAGGTTGCAGTAAGCTGAAATCGCACCACTGCACTCCAGCCTGGGCAACAGAGCAAGAATCCGTTTCAAAAAAATAAAATAAAATAATAAAATAAAATAGCTACAGGCCAGGCACAGTGGCTCACACCTGTAATCCCAGCCAAGGTGGGTGGATCACCTGACGTCAGGAGTTCAAGACCAGCCTGGCCAACATGGCGATACCCTGTCTGTACTAAATATACAAAAAATTAGCCAGGCATGGTGGTGCACACCTGTAGGCCCAGCTACTCAGGAGGCTGAGGCACGAGAATTGCTTGAACCTAGGAGGTGGAAGCTGCAGTGAGCCAAGATCACATCACTGCACTCCTGCCTGGGTGACAGAGAAAGACTCTGTCTCTAAATAAATAAATAAATAAAATAGCTATAAAAAATAGTTCTATGAAGAGTGAGTTGTGAAAAAATAATACTTAGGAATAAATTTAATACCAAGGAGGTAAAAGACCTATACACTGAAAACAATAAAACATTAATGAAAGATACTGAAGATGATACAACTAAGTAAATGATATCCCATGTCATAGACTAGAAGAATTAATATTGTTAAAATGTCCATACTACCCAAAGCAATCTACACATTCAATTCAATCCCTATCAACATTCCAATGTCATTTTTCATACAAATAGAAAATATAATCCTAAAATTCATATGGAACCACACACACAAGAAAAAACCCTGAATATCCAAGATAATCATGCACAAAAAGAACAAAGCTGGAGGCATCACACTACCTTATTTCCAACCATATTACAAAGCAATAGTAATTAAAACAGCATGGTACTAGTGAAAAATGGGCTCATCAACCAATGAACAGAATAGAGCCCAGAAATGAACCCATGCATGTATGTGGGTTTGACAAACGTGCCAAGTATATACTTTGGGGAAAGGACAGTCACTTCAATAAACGGTGTTGAGAAAACTGGATATCCATATGCAAAAGAATAAAATTGAACCCTTATCTCACACCATATACTAAAATCAACTCAAATGGACTACAGACTTAAACATAAGACCTGAAACTACAAAACTACTAGAAGACAACATAGTAGATAAACTACAGGACATTCGTCTGAGCAATTATTTTTATATCTGACCCCTAAAAACAAAGGCAACAAAAGCAAAATAGACAAATGGGATTACATCAAAATAAAAAGCTTCTGCACAAGAAAGGAAACAATTAAAAAAGTGAAGAGACAACCTACAGATTGGGAGAAAACATTTATAAGCTATACATCTGATTAATATCTAAACTCAAATACCTCTACATTAAAAATTTAATAACCCAGTTAAAAAATGGGGAAGGTACCTGAATAGACATTTCTCAAAAGAAGACAAATGGCCACCAGATACATGAAAAAAATGCTCAACATTACTAATCATTAAAGAAATGCAAATTAAAACCACAATGAGATATCCCCTCACACCAGCCAGAAGGACTACTGTCAAAGAGATAAAAATAAGTTTTAGTGAGGATGTTGAGAAAAGGGAACCCCTGCAATCTGTTGGTGGGAATGTGAATCAGTACAGCAATTATGGAGTTCTCAAAAAAACTAACAATAGAATTACCATATGATCCAGCAATTTCACTTCTGGATATTTACCCAGGATACTTGAAATTGGTATGTCAAAGAGATGTCTGCACTCCCATGTTCACTGCAGCACTATGCACTATTCAACTTATGGAATCAACCAAAGTGTTCATCAACAGATGAATGGACAAAGAAAATGTGACATATATACACAGCCCGTAAATACCACTCAGCCTTTAAAAAGAAAGAAATTTTGTCATTTGCAGCAACATTGGATGGAATGAGAGAACATTATGCTAAGTGAAATAAGCCAGGTACAGAAGGACAAATACTGCATATTCTCACTTACATGTGGAATCAAAAACAACTGAACTCAAAGAAGCAAAGAATAGAATGGTGGGTACCCAAGGCTAGGAGTGTTAGAAGATTGGGGAGATGATGGCCAAAAGGTACAAAGCCTCAATTAGACAGGAGGAGTAAGTTTGGGAGGTTTTTTCTACTTTAGATATACTGCAGTGTGATGAATATAGTAAATAATAACATATTATATATTTCAAAATCACCAAGAGTTCATTTAAAATGTTCTAACCACAAAGGAATGGTAAGTATTTGACCTGATATATATGTTAATTATTCCACATTGTTTTCATAAATTATAACATCACTTTGCATCCCATAATATTTACAACTATGATTTGGCAATTTACAATAAAAAATGATTTAAAAAAAAGAAACTACATTCTCTAAAGCTGGCTAAATCATGTTGAATAACAAGCACACAGCTATTCCTGTACTAATCCCTCTATATTAGTGACAATGGTCCAGGCTACACTGTGGTAATAAATAAACCCCCAAATCTCAGGGACTTAATGCAACAAAGGTCTTTGTCTTGCTCAAGTTACCTGTCTAATATGTTGATGGGGGAAGGGAATGGACTCTACTCCACTCAGTCCTTCCTGGATCAGCCCAATGGAGACCCCACCATCTGAAACACAAGGCCCCCAAAGTCACTGTGGCAGGGAAAGGGAAAGAATGCAAGTGGCACACTAGCTCCTAATGTCTTGACCAGGAAATAATACCCATCACTTCCACGTCATTGGCTAGAACTAATCACATGATCCTACCTAACTGCAAGGAAGCTGGGAACTGTAATCTTCCAGTGTGCTCAGAGGAAGATTACACTCCTCTAGAGGAAAACTTAGGAGTTGCATAGAGAAAACTGAAATGGATACAGGCTGCCAGAAACAACCTCACCAAGGCTGAATGCACTCACTGACCTCAGGGTTATACATTATGCAGTATGATTGCTAAGGTATAAGTATATAACCACCCAAGCATAAATAAATCCACGTTCACCATCCTTAGATTGCCCAGGCTGGTAAAGCCAGGTCATACCACATTCCTGACTTCAGAGCAACAGAAATGAACAACGGCCACTTAGTCATATCTGGGATCACATTATAGGGCTTATCCTTTAAGCAGTTTCAAGATTAGTCAAATCTTAGGTTTATCCAAAGCAACGGAACCCTCACCCAACACCACAAATGGCAAATATGCATTTAAGTGCATACCTGAGAACATGATGAGAAAATGGTAACTGATCACTTTGACAAAAGACCCTGACCATCCTCCTCTGGGATCCTATGCCTCTCCTATACACCCTACACTTTCTAGTTTATTTGAGGACATTGCACATAAAAATCTATCTTATCTTTGTGGACATACAATGCTTTTAAGGTGCTCAATAAACATTTCTTTATATGAATGAAACAATGAAGGAACTGAACCAATGCAATCACAGTGGAGCTGAATTCTGTCATTTTTATTTCCTCTTCTGTTAGAGTCTCTTTCATAGCAACGTTCTGGGGCTAAAAAGCTGGGACAGAGAGAGCTGCATGTTTCCCAGAAGAATTGCAGAAGGTATGTGGAGTGGGTAGCCAAGTTGGGCTTTGGCTCGCAATGCCCCAAGGACACTGACAAATAGCCCAATAATAACTCATCTGAGTCTCAGAAGTCATTCCTTAGAGCCGCCCTATAAAAGCCAAAGGGAATTATTCATTAGCAAGTGTGAATAACACTAGATACCACCAGCAGATTGCATTTGGCTTTGCTGAATTATTCATAAGCATTTGTGAGAAATGTACAATCCAAAGGGTGTTAAACCAAACCAGATTGTTTGGCAATATTTGCTTTCCTTTAAAAATATCTTTTTAAATCACCTCCAAGCTACAGTTCTTATGTTGAAAATCAGTTACCAATCTGGCAAAACAAGTAGGTAAAGAGTAGAAAGCCAAATAAGAAAGGGATATCAGTGATCTTATTTAATATTTATCATGATAATGACAGGCAGTAGACTGAACCAATGTTTGTTTACCTGTCCACATCCTCCCTTTTTTAGATGTTGTATGGTCAAAGACGGTAGGAGCTCTACAATGAGATTCATATATGGGGGGGGGGAAGAAAAGTCCTTAGAGTCCTGTCACAGAGCAGATGCAAATTTAATTACTTCACGTTAAGCTTTCCATCTTGTCTAGGTGTCCTTGGAAAGCAACTGTAAACAAGAAGCACTCGGCAATCAGGTGTCAGGGGCTCATTTGATCAGCTACGAAATATGTCACAAATCACTGGCAGGAAGTGAGTCAGGAAGGGGAACAAAGAGGTAGAAGTGACAGTGTAGGAGGCAGATCTTGTGGGTGTACCTGTTAGTGCTGGGGACTGCTCCCACTGCCAGCTCTGACTTCCCAGAGTAAGTGCCCCCTGCCTGACAAGGCTCTCTCATCTCACATTTGTTATACATTTTCCTATGGTCTGCAGAAATCACCACCACAACTGGGGAGTCAACTAGAGATACTAAGCACAGTTAAATTATTCGTGACTAAAGAAAACCTAGCATGAGCCGATTTATTTTTTCAAGGCAACCAGAGAAATTTGGAAATTAATGCAGAATCTAAATTTGGGTAAAAGAGAACACATCAGTCAGCAGTCTCAAAGAAAACCCTAGGCCTAGGTGCCTTCCCATCTTTTTAGTGTGTCTCTAATTGAAGAAGAAGAATGTTCCATTCTATGAGCTCCGAGTCTGAACCTAAGCTGTCAAATGCCCTGCAGTTTCTATGATAATGGGTGCTGCATTTGTAGGCAAGAGAAAGGAAGTGATCCCTGAGTGTATACAATTTGTAATTCTGCAAAGAGCCTGTAGCCTTCCTGAAGGGAGCCCACTTCCAGCTACTGCTCACTTCTACAAGACGACTGGAGAAAATGATGTCTGTACTTGCAACCAAACTATGGTTCCAGAAGTACTTTCTACTGAATTATTTCATAGGAATTTTAAATATATTGACTTAAGTCAAAACTCTGCCCACAACTATAATGAATTAACAACTTCCAAACGGAGAGGAAAAAATCTGAAAGCAACCAAACTCTATTAAACTTGGAGCAAATTAACCTATCTCTCTAAGCTTCAATTGCCTCATCTCTAAAATCAGGGGGAAAAAAATGGTAACTAGGCAGGGTTCCTATGAGGATTATAGGAGATAATACATGTAAGTTAAAGCTTGTATTATTAAATTAAAGAATAGGGAAATTAATATTAATAGTGCAATCATTATCTGCGTAGTAACACAAGTATTCCCACGATAATAAGCTGTATTAAAAATTGTGCCTAAAATTATCTGCAAACATGTTACAATTATTTTATTACCTAACATACTAGATGAGGACAAAAGTTCTTTACCCCACTTTCCCACTTTTATAAGTGAGAAAGAGATATCAAAGACTCATCTGAGGCTCCAGGGACTAGATCTGTTACCTAAACATCAGCGTATGAGCACAGGAGGAACAGGAGTGGAAAGTAAAGGATGAAAAGGTAACTGCAATCATCAGAGTGCATGTCCCATTCATTTCAGATCTCCTTGTTGTCTAGGCTTCCTTATGTCCAATTTAGGTTCCTTCTAAGAGGTGGCACAGGACAAAGCCACAACCATCGACTGGGAGAAAGAACCAAAAGGAGCCACCTAGTGGCCAAGCAAGCTTTCATTCCGACCACAGTGAAGCTTCAAATCATGTTAACTTAAATCACTTTATAATCCAAGAAAATGTAGAAATATAATATTTTTGTAGCAAATGAAGGGGCATTTCAAATTTTAGGCTAACGAAAATTCAAGGCTTCTATAGATTGTTGAGAGCCTGACAGTGGAAAGGAGACAGGCAGCTGGAATTATACATACCTGGATTCACTTACTCATGGATAGAGTTATACACTCTAACCTTTTCCACATCATGGAGTGTGCAGAAAATTATATTTTTTAAGGCACACTGGAGTAATCAGAAGAGGCTGCCCAGAGTTAGAGATGAAGAGACCAGGGGCTCCAGTTACCCCTGTCCCCATCTGCCCATTCCAAGAACTAAAGGAACCAATATCTCCACAAACTATAACCCACTCAAGGCACACTAGTGGAAAGCGCTCCTTCAACAACCTAGTTAATCTTATTGGGCTTTCTTTTCTTTATCTATAAAGTGTGGCAAACAATACCCAGTTAGGTTTATGATGAAGATTAACTCAGATACTGCATGTAAATAAAATGCCTGGTACATACTATGCACCCAATCAATGTATTTTTTTCTTCCTTTTATGCTACTTCTTTTAGTATCAACACATAGGGATCCTGTTTTGTCACAAGCTAATTTACAAAGCTATATTATGTGATTTTAAGTAACAGCAATAATCATAGCTCCTGTTTAACTGAGTGAATATTATAAGCCAGACCAGTGCTGGATTGCCTCACTGAACCTTTATAACCACCTTAGAAGGCAGGGATAGTAGATACCTTCTGTTGTCCACCCAGTGTCTATTATCGAAATTTTTCTTATCAACAAAATCCTGATTTTGACCTGGGCAACAATGTGTCACCAAAAAAAACTTGCCTTCCCAGACTTTCTTGCAGCTAGGGGTGGCCATATGGCATAGTTCTAATTGAAAAACTGGAAGGGCTGGTATTGACCCTTCCTGCCAGGCCAATGCCTGAAGGTCTACCCACCACATTTAAATGAAACCACATAGTAAAGCAGCCTCCAAGAAGACCCTCAATAATCCCTGCCTCCTGATATTCCCACCCTCCTGGAATTCCTCCCCTTCAGTATAGGCTGGACCTAGAAATTCACTTCTAACAAACAGAATACCGCAGAAGTTATGGAATATTACTTCCCAGAGTAGGTTACAAAAAGTCTGTAACCTACCCCCCACTCTCCCCAGATACTCTGGGAGAAACTAACAAACATGTTGTGAGCTGCCCTATGGAGACAGAAACGTGGCAAGGAATTGATTCTCCAGCCAACAGCCAGTATGGGTCTGTCACTTCCCAAAACCTACATGAGTGAGCTTGGAATCAGATCCCCTCCACCCCAGTCAAGTCTTGAAATAAGCGATTTCCCAGCCAACAGCTTTGTGAGACCCTGAGCCAGAGACAACTAGCTAAGCTGTATCTGGACTCATGACCCATAGAAATTGTAAGGTAATTAATATTTGTCGTTTCAGATTGCTAAGACTTGTGGTAACTTGATACACAACAATAACAGAGTTTAGTCACCCTCTCTCTATGAAATTGCATGCTGAGAATGGCAGAAGAGGACACTGGAAAGATCCTGGTTCCTCAATGACCTTCTTGGGCAGCTTGACCACTACCTAGGTCATGATTCAGATTATGTGAAAAAAATAAAGTTTTATTTCATTAAACAATTAAAATCAATTTTAATTCATATAGTAAGTACTACTACTACTACTATTATTATTACTGTTCCTAGGTAACATCTAATGGGTTTGTACAATACAAATAAAAGAGCAACAGAGTGGTTCACAGATTATAATCCAATGGAATAAACAAACAATGCAATAGAAGTTACTTGTAAACACTATTCAGCAAAAAGGGTAAATTACAAAAGCACATAGAATAACCTCATTGTTTCAAAATGTAAACACACACACGCAAATGCACAGAAAAAGTCTTGAAGGGTATAGACCAAGGGTCAGCAGATTTTTTTTCTATAAAGGTCCAGATAGTAATAATGAACACGTCAGGCTTTGAAGGCCTATAACTAACTACTAAACCTGCCATTTTAGCATGAAAGCAGTCTAGATAATATGTAAATGAATGAGCATGGCTATGTTTCAATAAAACTTTATTTGGGGAAACAATTTTAAATTTCATATCAATTTTCTCATGTGACAAAATGTTACTGTTACTTTAATGTTTTTCAACTATTCAAAAATGTAAATACCATTCTCAGCTCAAGGTCGATTAAAAAACAAGTGGCAGGCCAGATGTGGCCCACAGACAATAGTTTGCTGACCCCTGTTACAGGCCAAAATGTCCGGAGTGATTATGTTGTTTGGAAAGTAAAATTAAGGTTGACTTTTACTTTCTTCTTTAAACCTTTCAGCCTTGTCTTAATTTATGGTTATGTATTTTATTATTAGAATATACAGTAAAGTTGTATTCATCTGGGGTGTGCAGGGGAGAGAGAAAAGCTTCTTGTGTGGTATTGGGACATTGAAATGTGCTGAAAAAGCCACAGACCTGGTTCCCACCAGATCATCAATAAAAACTGTCAACTGAGCCAGAGATAACATTTTCAGTGCCCCTAAACTGGAAGGTAATCATGTAGCTATTTGAAAGGAAGCATTACAAGATGAAGAATTGAAACAGATGGGGAGAACCTACTGTAAAATGTGCATGTTTTCCCTCAAAAAATAAGATTATGACACACTGAGCAGAAAGGCAAGAAAAACCAGAAAATATTCTATCAGCACATTTTCAATCCTGTATGCACATTACAAGTTTCATATTTTCAGAAAATATTTTCTTCACTTAGCAGGAACGTAACATGAAGATACAAGTTAGAAAATTCTAATTTGCAACTGTTTTCAAAATATACGTAAAATTTTTAGTACGATAAAACAGATGTAACTGATGACATCCAGTCACTATGTCCTGCTCTTTAAAAAAAATACACTCTACACCTACCCAGGTAACTACACATGTAATATTCAGCTTTGTGGGCACAATGTCACAAAGCCACTCTAGCTGTCAGCATTCTTGTAGAAAAACAATAGGACAGGGAAAACACAAGTTCTGGTGCTTCTTGTTAACATTTACCATATGATCCTAGGGTTACAGATGGCACTGCTAAATATTCATGTCAGAATAACAAGGAAGACACAGCCTTCTAATTTTGAAAAGGCTATACATAAAGTATGGATAAAAGTCAACATGGTTATCTTAATTACTTTAAAACAAGTGACTTCCAGTTTGCCTCGTGGTACTTCTATTCTTGTTCCCTCTATAGATCTATGATGGCTCCTTGGGAGATCAAACTTTATACTGCTTCTATTTTTTAAGTGTTTTTAAGTACATGCAAATATTTTTGAAGACAATATAACTATTACAATCACTAAAAAATAGGCATCCTCAGAGTAATCATTTCAAACACTTTAAAATGGTTCATTTTATATTAGGAGAATTATACCTCAATGATTAAAAAAAAACACAGACAAAAAAGATACAATCATACTAATTGTCTTTTAACGTGGGAGTGGGAAATATGATCTCCAACATCAAACATACTTTAGTGTTTGATTCAAAAACTTTTAAATTACTTTTGGATAATCTGTGGTTTTGAATTATCCACACCACTTCTTTCTTTCCATTCACACATATATGAGGCATCTCATTTAATCTGTCTGTTGCCTTGGGGTTTTCATCTAAAAAGTAATAGTAGGCCAGGCACAGTGGCTCACACCTGTAATCCCAGCACTTTGGGAGGCCAAGGCGGGCGGATCACAAGGTCAGGAGATCAAGACCATCCTGGCTAACACGGTAAAACCCCATCTCTACTAAAAATAGAAAAAAAAAAAAAAAACAGCCAGGTGTGGTGGCGGGCGCCTATAGTCCCAGCTACTGGGGAGGCTGAAGCAGGAGAATGGTGTGAACCCAGGAGGCAGAGCTTGCAGTGAGCCGACATCGTGCCATTGCACTCCAGCCTGGGCGACAGAGCGAGACTCCGTCTCAAATAAATAAATAAATAAATAGTAATAGTAAGAATATTTTTCTTTGGCTAATAGAATTATAAGAATCAAATGAGAAAGATTAAAAAGACAGACAAGGGCCAGATTGCGATGGCTCACACTTGTAATCCCAGCAGTTTGGGCAGCCGAGGCTGGAGGATCACTTGAGCCCAGGAGTTTGAGACCAGTTTGGGCAACATATGGGGAGACCCTATCTCTACAAAAAATTTTTTAAAAGCACACCTGTGGTTACAGCTACTCAGGAGGCTGAGGTGGAAAGACTGCTTGAGCCCCGGAGGTTGAGGCTCCAGTGAATCATGATCTTGCCACTGCACTCCAGCCTGGGTGACAGAGTGAGACCCTATCTCAAAAAAAAAATTTTTTTTAAATAGGCAATAACAAGTATTGGCAAAGATGTAGAGAAACTGGAACTCTAATACACTGCCAGTGGGAATGTGACATGGTGTTATATAGACAATAACAAGTGTTGGCAAGGGTGTAGAGAAAATGGAACTCTAATACATTTCTAGTGGGAATGTCACTCTGGAAAACAGTTTGGCAGTTCCTCAAAAACTGCCAAACATAGACTTACCATATGACCCAGCAATTCCACTTCCAGGTATATGCTCAAGAGAAATGAAAACATATGGCCACACAAAAACCTCCTTACAAATGTTTATAGAAGCGTTTTTCATAATAGCCAAAAAGTGGAAACAACCCAATGTCCATCAACTAATGAATGAGATAACGTGGGATGTGTCCATATAATGGAATATTATTCAGCCATAAAAATAAATAAAGTATTGCCTGTAATCCGTGCACTTTGGGAGGCCGAGGAGGGAGGACTGCCTGACACCAGGAGTTCAAGAACAGCCTAGGCAACATAGCCAGACCTCATCTCTATAAAAAGTTAAAAGAAATTCATGTCTGTAATCCCAACACTTTGGGAAGCTGAGGTGGGCAGATCACCTGAGGTGGGGAGTTCGAGACCAGCCTGACCAACATGGAGAAACCCCGTCTCTACTAAAAATACAAAATTAGCTGGGCGTGGTGGCGCATGCTTGTAATCCCAGCTACCCGGAAGGCTGAGGCAGAATCGCTTGAACCCAGGAGGCGGAGGTTGCTGTGAGCTGAGATCACGCCATTGCACTCCAGCCTGGGCAACAAGAGCAAAACTCCATCTCAAAAAAAAAAAAAAAAAGCTACGATTGTGCAACTGCATTCTAACCTGGGTGACAGAGCGAAACCTTGTCTCAAAAAAGAAAAAAAAGAAAGAAAGAACTTATACATTCTACAACATAGATGAACCTTGAAAACATCATGCTAAGTGGAAGAAGCCAGTCACAAAGACCACACACGGTATGATTCCATTTATATGATGTAAGTTATATCTCAATAACGCTATTTTTAAAAGACTAGTCATCTTTAATTGGGTAGGCTGGGGGGAGGAGTAGAGTGAAGGGTACATACTCTCTCGTCATAAAGTTAATCTAAGGGAGCCAATAAACATGTTTCCCAAGAGGGCACTATACAGGCAAAATAAGTGATGGCTCATATTACTGCTGGGTGACAAGGAGCATCCTTCTTACATCCACATATGCACAGTCTTGCATTGCAGAATGGTATTTCAGACAACAACGGACCGCATATACAACAGTACTTCCATAAGATTACAATAATGTATTTTGACTGCACCTTTTATATGTTTAGATACACAAATACTTACCATTGTGCTACAATTGCCTACAGTATTCAGTACAGTAATGTATAGCAAGTTACTTGTATAGCAAGTTACTGTACGAAACAGCAACTGTACTGATGCAGTAGAGAATAGGCTATACCATATCTAGGTTTGTGTAAGTGCACTCTATGACGTTCACATGATGAAACTGCCTAACAATGCATTTCTCAGAATGTATCCTTGTCATTAAGCAATGCATGATTGTATATGTGTGTATGTATATAGAGATATATACACACTTATTCATGAATCTCCTTCCCACAGATAAATATATAAAATGTGTCCACCATGCAAAATTAAAAACATACTCTCAGGACATCAATCAACCCTTCCATAAGTATTATGATAGGCCCTCTGTTAGCAGAAACTGCACTGTGCTCTGCAGAAACAGGCGCACACAGGGTTCCTGCCTTCCAAGGACTCACCATCAAAGAGACACCAAGTATACCAACGCAATGGCCAAGTACAAAGTGACCAGAAGCTGAAGTGATAAATGGGCACAATGGAAGGGAAGGATTTGCAGAGGCAGAAACTTTAGAGCTAAATCTTAAAAAGGAGTTCCCCCACATAAATCTGGGGGAGGGGAATGAGTATGGAAGACAGCATCCCTGACAAACTACACAGCAAATAGATGGAGCTGGTAGCGGGGAGATGGAAAGTGTCAGAACTGGGAGGAGACGCTGGTTACGTCAGATAGTGCTCTGGAAACCTGTGGCACTTGGCCTTTTATCCTACAGCCAAAAGGGATACATTTAAGACCTACATTGAATCAAAGTCAAACCAGAGTTAAATAATAAGAAAAACCACTTGTCAGCAATGTGAAACAGAAATTGGCAAAAAGAGAGGATGTTGGGGAGAAGGGAAAAATAGAGGCAAGAACATTAGTTCTGAGACTATTGCAACTGTGCTGGAAGGAGGTATTTTGAGACACCCTAAACTTAAGCAGAGGCAGTGGAAATGAGAAGGAGGGGTCAGATTTCAGATCTGCTGACAGATTGAAAGACTTGGTGAGTGACAGAAGATAGGTGACAGAAAGGAAGGATGACCCCGAGATTTCCAGAGAGAACTCGATATTGACTTGGGTGAGGGCAGAAACTACAGATTGATGGTGGAGCTTTTTTTTTTTTTTTAATTATACTTTAAGTCCTAGGGTACATGTGCACAACGTGCAGGTTTGAGCATTTCAAAGACACTAAGATAGGAGTTTGACCTGGTTTAGCCCAAAATAGGAGAGTACAGAAGAACACAGATGACGTACCTCGGTACGATACAGGGTTCTCAGTACAATGCAGAGGACAGATTCAGGAGCCAGATGTTCAGCCTATATTCAAACCCTCAACTCTACCAGCTGCTAGCTGGAGCAGTTTGAACACATTACTTAACCTCTCCATCCATAAAATGGACATAATAATAATAAGACCTATTCATATGGTTAACATGTATTAAAAAATTATTAGTGCCATAAGAGCTTGCTATTTGTATTATGGCATCTACACAGTGATATATTATCTCCATTTTATAGAGTAAGAAACTAAAGCAGAGGCAGTAAGAAGGAGAAGGAAGGGTCAGATTTTAGAGCTGCTAACAGACAGAAAGACTTGGTGACTGAAGATAGAAGGTGACAGAAAGGAAGGATGACCCCAAGATTTCCAAAGAGGATTCAATATTGACTTAGGTGAAAGTAGAAATATGAACTGATGGTAGAGTATTTCAAAGATACCTTCAGAGAAACCCTGTTCCTTACACAGATAGATTGAGGCAGAAAGCTTATCCAACTAGGCTTCAAAGACAATGCCATTTACACTCTGCTATGCTGCTTCCTGAGCTGCTGCTGGAATTACTCACTCCGTGAAGCACATAAAATTCTCAAGTTGCCACAGTTTCCACATTAAGAGCAGATTTGTTTTTGCTTGGATTTCCAAGAATACCTAAAAAAGGAGGGTGATCAACTCATCATTTTCTGAGATTAGCTGAATCCTGTGTCTCTGGAGTCAGCGAGGATGTAGCCTCCTCCAAGAGGCCCTCCCTGACTCTCCGAGTCCATGTTAGCTGATTTGCATTCACCGCACAGCAAACTGTGCCTTCCCCATATCTACTGAAACTACTTCCTAATCTCTCAGTCCTACTAGACTATCAACCCTATGAGTTCAGAGACTGTCCATCTTATTCACTGCAGTATCTCCTGTGTCTAGCAATAACCTAGAACACTGTCAGTGCTAATTAAATGTATTGGATGGATAATTCAAAGTTCCAATTCTGGTCTTAAATGTATTTGTCTCAAAGGGTTATATTACATGGTAACAGAGGCCATATCCCTTGGCCAGTGTGGAACAAAAGATAAAAATCTCATTTCCAGTCACACATTAATTGAGTATGGCAGAAGCCATTGGCTGCCTACTCAACAGCTATTCATTCTGCTTCCCTGCTAACAGGGGCAGCCATGAGCCCAGTTCCAAGGAATGGATCATGAGCTCTCTAAGCCAAGCGTAGGAATCGCATTCCCTTTTGCCAGACACTTCTTTTCCCAGTCTCCCTTGCAACTAGGAATGACCAACAAATCCAGATCTGGCCAATAGGACATAATAAGGAGTGTGCTAGGGGACTTACAGGAAGGATTTCCCTCCTAATATAAAAACTCTCTTTTATCTTCCCATCCTCTTCTTCCTACCCTGAACACAGTTACATGAGGACATGATACCTGGCACTGTTATAACCCAGTGATCACTAGGTTACAAGTCAAAAGACGAAAAAGCCAACGTGCTGAAGAATGGCAGAGCAGAAAACTGGAAAGTACCTGCATTTGACTGTATCATTAAGCCACTGTTCCATGAGAACTTCCTCCTTCCAGACAGCTTATGATGTGGGAAAAGTCATGTCATTACTGTTTAATCCACTGTTACATGGAAATTCTGTTACTTGCAGCCAACATTTTTCAAACTTATATATTGAGCAAAAAGGCACAAAACTCTTTCATGTGATATTGGCCACCCAACCACAGATGTAGACATTTGGGATCTGCAATCAGGTGAACGCTATACTTTTCTATTCTAGGGGAAGAGAACTATCGTTTTTGAAACATTAAGATTCTGTACATCATCAGAGCATGTCTGTTCCTTTCAAATTTTGTACAGAGAGTTTATAACATTCAGAACAGAAATGACAGTGCTAGGAATCTAAATTACTTCCTTTAAAGAAAAGAGTGAATCTCTTATTCATAAAAAAAACCAAATAATAGACCAGAAATCCAGAATCTGAAGTTGTTCTATCACCTAGCTTCTTGACCACTCCCAAATTATACTAACAAGTGCAAAACTTCATGTCTTAAGAAAAAAGAAAAGGTCTGGCAGAGAATTTCCTTAATGGATTTGACCTGGGTAATACCATTAACCCAAGAAATGCTTTTTTGGTACTTTTCCATTCTACTTACTTTGTAAATACGTTTTGTCATGAGTTGATTCAAATGAGAGTTGAATTTCTACAAATACCCTCAATTTGTAAAATGTGTGTGCTTGTGTGCATAATTTGTAGAATTGTGTACTTTAGTGAAGTTTTGTTGTGTTATTGTTTCTTGTTTTATATCTTCCTTCCAGTCAGTTTTCCATTAATTTAAACCTCTTTTTATTCTGGCTAAAGTAAGTTACATTTTAAGATTTAAAAATTCTAGAGGAAATCCTTATATAATGTTCTTTATAATAACTCAAGAGTGTTGCCATGGTAGACATGAGACAAACTCAAATCTTTTTCTGAGACACCTAGAAATGTCACATATAACCTTTTTTAATGTTATCTCTGTATAATTCATATTTCAAGATGACAGGTTAAACCACACAATTACTCTCTTAAAAAAGCCTTAAATTATATCGACCATCTCAAAATAACTACAACTTTTTCCCAGAGTTATCAGACTCTGGTCTCAAAGCCAAGTAAGTAAATAAACTTAACTGAGAAGAATCCTCCTTCATTGAGGAGTGGGTAATTACGTCCCTAATTTTCCGTGTTGATATCTCCTCAGAGCCTATCAACTGTACAGGTCGCCCTGTATTCAGCTCATCTTCTTCTTCTTTTTTATTTTTTCTTTTTTTGGAGACGGAGTTTTGCTCTTGTTACCCAGGCTGGAATGCAGTTGTGCGATCTCGGCTCACTGCAACCTCCGCCTCTCAGGTTCAAGTGATTCTCATGCCTCAACCTCCCGAGTAGCTGAGATTACAGGCACCCACCACCACACCTGGCTAATTTTTCGTATCTTTAGTAGAGACAGGGGTTTCGCCATGTTTGGCAGGCTAGTCTCGAACTCCTGACCTCAGGTGATCCTCCCGCCTCGGCCTCCCAAAGTGCTGGGATAACAGGCGTGAGCCACTGTGCCTGGCCTCAGTTCATCTTTAGAAAAGTCAGCCAAGCCATGTCAGAGATCTTGGCTCTAAACAAATATAGGTTAAATTTAAAAAGACAGAAAAGGGGGGCTCCCTCTATGGTTTGAGGTCTTAAGGCTCTGCCAATAGATGGCTACAGGGCTGGGATTTAAGGCCCTTCGTGGCTTCACATGTCTCACATGACACCAGATTCCCTTTTTTCCTTACTCATTCATTCCTTCCCTGATGCCAGATTCCTTCTTTTCCTTACTCATTCATTCCTTCCCCTGCTACAATGCTCCTTTTTCCCCCTCTTCTTAGCACATTTCATCAGAAGCCAAAAACGTCAAACATTTCCATGGGTAAACAGAAATCTGCTGGCCTTTCCACCACCCCCCTCCTTTATGCCTACTGTTATTATGAGCGGTAACAATGTAATCTGCCTCAGGCACCTCTCTCCATCCATGCCAAGCAGGTCATTCTCCTTTTATCAGAAGGGAAAGTGGGTCATCACATTTTAGTGCATGTTGACACGACTGCTAATAAAAGCAAGATAAGAAGTTCCTGCCCTTAAGGTGCCTTAACCTCTACTTTGCCTAAAAGATACTTCACAGTTCCCACACTGAAGTAGGAACTGGAAAGTGACTTGATACCACATTTCCTTAACCATACAGAGGTGAAGGAGGTAACAGGATATTTGTAAAGTGCAGTAACAACTCCTAATTCAGGAGGTTACTCCTCTCTCATTCGGGTTAGCAACATGGTTCCTTTAAGAAGACCACAATGGGCCAGGCATGGTGGCTCATGCTTGTAATCCCAGCACTTTGGGAGGCCAACACAGGTGGATCACGAGGTCAGGAGATCGAGACCATGCTGGCTAACATGGTGAAACCCTGTCTCTACTAAAAATACAAAAAGAAATTAGCCGGGCGTGGTGGCGGGCGCCTGTAGTCCCAGCTACTCAGGAGGCTGAGGCAGGAGAATGGCATGAAGCCCGGAGGCAGAGCTTGCAGTGAGCCGGGATCGCACCACTGCACTCCAGCCTGGGCGACAGAGCGAGACTCCGTCTCAAAAAAAAAAAAAAAAAAAAAAAAATAAGGCCACAATGAGGGCTGGGGCGCGGTGGCTCACGCCTGTAATCCCAGCACTTTGGGAGGCCGAGGTGGGCGGTTTATCTAAGGTTAGGAGTTTGAGACCAGCCGGGCCAACATGGTGAAACCCTGTCTCTACAAAAAGTACAAACAGCCTGTAGTCCCAGCTACTCGGGAGGCTGAGGCAGGAGAATGGCGTGAACCCAGGAGGAGGAGCTTGCAGTGAGCCGAGATAGTGCCACTGCAGTCCAGCCTGGGCAAAAGAGGGAGACTCCGTCTCAAAAAAAAAAAAAAAAAGTACAAACATTAGTTGGGCGTGGTGGCGCAGGCCTGTAGTCCTGTAGTCCCAGCTACTCGGGAGGCTGAGGCATGAGAATCACTTGAACCCGGCAGGCGGAGGTTGCAGTGAGCCGATATGCCACCGCACTCCAGCCTGGGCTACAGAGTGAGACTCCATGTCAAAAAATTTAAATTAAATTAAATTAAATTTTAAAAAAAGAAGGTAACAATGAACTAGGAGGCTGACATCTCAAACAACAGAGGCATGAACAAGATAATTCCCTTTTGAATCATGTGTCTGAAAATGATAGTAGTAAACATAGAGACCTACCAAGTGGCTTTCAAACTTTTCAAATTTGGAAGTATTAATATGAAGGAACTTTTATCCAAAAGTATAAACAAATACATCAACAGAAGCTAAGCTGTTCTCAGGCCCCCACCTGGAGAAGCAGATCCCTATAGGTAGCCAGGACACAGTCTGAAAATCACTAAACCACAGCCTACACACCATTTGAGAAGTTCAAAACTAGATTTTGTTCTTCCTTTCCTTCTATCTCTTTCTTCTCTTTATGCCCATTACTGAACTCTCCAATGTCCTCTCAAATATAAAATTCCCAGTTAGATCCCAAATTCACATACAAGTAATCTAAGAAACACATTCTAATGCAGGATCCTTTTTACAACCTATCTCTACAAACATCTGGACACCTTTTCCATAAGGCAACTTGGCAATATGCATCAAGAGCCTTAAAAAATCCCTATCTTTAACTCCGTTGTTCTGTTTCTAGGAATTTATTCATTTAAAAATGCACATACAAATGTTTAAACCCACTGACTCAACACAGCATTATTTATGCTGATAAAATAAATGAAACAAGCTAATTGGTCAACAATAGAGGAAACTATTTAAATAAATTATTCTATTCATATGACAAATCTACTGTGGTTTGGCATTAAATTGCTTCTAATAGGCTGGGCTCGGTGGCTCATGCCTGTAATCCAAGCACTTTGGGAGGCCAAGGCAGGCAGATCGCTTGAGCCCAGGAGTTCAAGACCAACCTGGGCAATAATAGCGAAACCAAGTCTCTACTAAAAATACAAAAAATTAGCCGGGCATGGTGGTGCACACCTGTAGTCCCAGCTACTCACGAGGCTGTGTTGGGAGGATCACCTGAGCCTGGGAAGTTGAGGCTGCAGTGAGCCATGATCGTGCCACTGCACTTCAGCCTAGGCAAGGAGAGTGAGACCCTGTCTCAAAAAAAAAAGCCTTCTAAAATAATGAAAACTACAAAAAAAATCATGACAATGCTATACAGTATAATTGGAAAAATGTAGAGATAAATGGATGGATAGAAAAAATATGAAATTTACTTACTGAATTGAAATACAAAATTTAATACTATCTTCTTTGAAAAAAGATACATCACATGTTGGATTATAGAAAAAAAAAGCAACATAAAAGTTTATCTGAAGCTAACTTGCTCAGTGACACTATATCCTGGTGTTCTTGGGAAGTTAGTATATATAATATTTCTATTAGTTTCTAATGTTTTCATGCATCACTCTCCTTTCAATATGATATTTATTTAAATTAGGCCTAAGGAAAGAAGTCTCTCTATCAATCATGGAATATTTTGACTGAAGAGCTCTTCAAAATGTATACTGTCCAATCTGATTATATCTACATTTGAAGTCCATGATAAATCTATCCCTAAATATTTCTAAAGATTAGGCTATCACAGGTGACAGTTTATAAAGTGCTTGTTGTATGCCAGACACTCAGCCAGATATTGCAATTACAAGAGAGGAATAAAAGCGCAGTTCTTGCCTTCAAAGAGCTCAGGGACTGAGAAAGTAATGGACAAACAGCTATAGTGAGGGGAAAGCTAAGGAAGTGTACACAACATTGAGGATGGCAGAATCACAGAAGTCTCAGAAGAGGTGGCATTTGTGGACATTGTTGAAAGATACATCATTCTCTAGGTGCCAATGAGAAGGGAGGAGAAGAGTCTAGAAAGAGAAAAGGACAGAGGCATATGTTCAGGGGTCACCACTTTCCAACAGTAGGAGTATAAGGTATAAATTATGGGGGTGAAAGCTGGGGGTTGGGGGCGTGGTTACCAGCTGACAATAAATAAGGCTGAAAAAACAGGAACCTATACAGCAAGCCCAGGAGTCTGAATTTTAACATGCAGCCAGTGGCAAATCTCCACGAAATTGTGAACAGTGGAGTGACACGGTCATTTTACTTTTTTTTTCCCCCCGATACGGAGTCTCAGTCTGTCACGCAGGCTGGAGTGCAGTGGCGAGATCTCCACCTCCCAGGTTCAAGCCTGCCTCTGCCTCCCGAGTAGCTAGAATACAGGCACGCACCACCAAGCCCAGCTAATTTTTTGTATTTTAATACAGACAGGGTTTCACCATGTTGGCCAGGATGGTCTCCATCTCCTGACCTTGTGATCTGCCCACCTCGGCCTCCCAAAGTGCTAGGATTACAGGCATGAGCCACGGCTCCTGGCCCATTTTACATTTTTTAAGATGGCAAGGTAGAAGTGGGTGGAATGGAAACAGGCCAAGAGCCTACGGAAATCTAAAGGGGCTGAACACAGCAGTGGCCTGAAGATGAAGAGATGAAAGAAGGAAAGACATTAGGACAAAGGTGACTAACTGGATGAGGAGCAGGAGACAGAAGTGCAGCCTCCTGGCCAGGCACAGTGGCTCACACCTGTAATCCTAGCACTTTGGGAGGCCAAGGTGGGCGGATCACTTGAGGTCGGGAGTTCGAGACCAGCCTGGCCAACATGGTGAAACCCTGTCTCTACTAAAAATACAAAAAAAAAAACCAGTCATGATGGTGGGCATCTGTAGTCCCAGCTACTTGGAGGCTGAGGCAGGAGAATCACTTGAACCCAGGAGGCAGATGTTGCTATAAGCCAAGATCACACCACTGCACTTCAGTCTGGGTGACAGAGCGAGACTCCCTGACAAAAAAAAAAAAAAAAGAAGTATGGTCCCCTTTTGTCTGGAAGACTGTCCCCATCTTCCCAGGGCCCTCTCCTTCCTTCAAACAGTTCTCTGCTGGAAAGAACTCTACAGTGAAAGCTCTTCTGTGACCAACCAAAATAACTCTTTATCCTCTTACACTAATTTTTTAATAGTATTTAGAACTATCAAAAAGTCATTATTTGTTTGTTTATTTTTTGTCTCTCTCTCCAGATACCTAATGATAGCCAAATGATACCTATCTAGTTCATGGCTGTATCCTAGAACTTAGACCAGGGCCTGGCACATAGTAGGAGCTCTATAAATATCTGTTGAGTGAATGAATGAATGGAAGGAAGGGAAGGAGAAAAAAGGAAGGCAGGCAGCCTACTCAGATTGGTAGTTTGAGTGCTTGACTAAAACGTGATGTCATAAGCAAGAATCAGAACTATGGGAGAAGAAAAGAGTTGGAACACAACGATTGACTGTGTCAGGCTCTGGAATGTTTATTCAGCTCAAGTATTGTCTTCTGACTTTTTTTTTTAAGAGACAGGGTCTAGCACTGTTGCCCAGGCTGGAGTGCAATGGCGTGATCATAGCTCACTGTAACCTCAAACTCCTGGGCTCAAGGGATCCCCCTGCCTCAGCCTCCCAAGTAGCTAGGACTACAGGTGCACACCACCACACCTGACTAATTTTTTAATTTCATGTAGAGACAGGGTCTCACTATGTTACCCAGGCTGGTGTAGAACTTCCAGCCTCAAATCCTCCCACCTCAGCCCCCCAAAGCACTGGAATTACAGGCATGAACCACTGTACCTGGCCCCTTACTACTGTTTGATGTCTTTCCTGCTAACACTGGATGTAAAAGAAAAGGATAAAAAGGAGATCAGGGAATGCCTACTGAGTGACTACAGTACTTAACAAAAGCAAGTACTTTACAAACAGTACCTCCTTCCATCCTCACCATATTAGTATCTCTATTTTTCCATATGAAGAACTGAGACTAAGGGGTTCAGTGACTTACACACAGTGACACTGCTGGAAAATGGCAGAAGCAAAACTAAAACTCAGGTCTCGTGACTCCCACACCATCCACTGCACAATGTTAGAAGCAAACCAACACTTTCCATACACTTCCAGAATACTGTTAGGTTCATCCTCTTCCACTTCAAGATGCTTTTCAAACCAAAGTTTCAAATTTACAAGAAAAAAAATGGCTTTTGCTGTCATATTTTTCTATGTCTAAAAAATAAATTGCATAAGACTGACCTGTTAAGTTTCTAAGACTTGATCAGATCACTTAAAATTCCAGTTTGAACCCTACCATGTGGAAAAAAGAGTCTTAAATGAGATAGTAATCATACATCCAAAATCATCCCTTTCATTCGCAGTCACATACACAGACGTCTGCATCCCTTTGCAACACTACATAGAGACCAAAGTAAACGTTTTATCCTGTGAGCTAACACCAGGCACCACTGGACTAGCATCTAGTCCCTTAAACTAACAGCTGAAAGCTGATAGAATATGCCAGACAAGTCAGAGAATTTAGCCAGCAGAGCTGCTCAGATTTAAATTGTGCTATTTGAAACTTAGACCACTTGAGACAACAGTTCACTTTTCTCACTGGAGCAACAGATTCAACCTCTTGGCCCTGTGAAAGTCATCTGAATATATTTAGCCAAAAGAAAAATAAAAAGAGAAAGAGAGAAAGAAAGAAAGAAAAGAAGAGGGGAAACTTCTTTCTCCTGATTGAAGATATATTCAGCACTCTGATTTTTTTATGCACATTTGATCATCCTGTTGACAGCCTTGGAAGTTAAGTAATATGGACTGCTGCACAGAGGTTTCAAACCTTGATGGAAACCAATGGCAGGCTCCTTTTGACAGTCAAATAATGACAAGCATGTTGCAGGCCAATGCCTGTCATTCACCAACATCTCCAACCTGCTCCAACTGCTGCACAGTGACTAAGTGGAGGGTCAGAGGTTAAGCTCCAAGAAGCCAGCAATGAAGGGCAACTGTCATGCACCACTGCCTATTGTGAAGCAGCAAGGAGTGGCTGTCTCCTTCTGAACATGCAAAATGTTCTCATTCTGTCCAGGCAGAGACACATCTGAAGGTCCTAAATGAGACCATTGCCAATTCATGAAGCTCCAAACTGACAGCATGCCATTCAAGCTGTCTCAAATTTGACTTTTTTTCCTATTTCAAATCACAAATGCATGCAAAGTATACCGTTAAGCATAACTCCTCAGCCATGGTTTTAAGCATGCTCTGCTTTTAGACACAGAGGTAGCCTCAGACACATACACATTCTCAGATCCTAAAAAAATGAAAGAAAATGCAAAGTTAATTTATTCTTCTTTAGGGAGTTTCTAATTCAAAATGGCACAGAAAAAAACTGGATACAGATTTTCTAGGAAAGTTCCTACATGTCTACAAAACAAAATAATCTTTAAGAAGGACGAGTTTCAACATAATATAACCATACTATTATGAGAACTGTGAATATTAGTGTGTGTATATAGAATTTTATTTAATGAAAAATAATGTAACTTTAGGTACACAGTAGTTCATCGACACGTTTTATATTTTTTTAGAGTGTTTATAAAATCGTAGTCCACAAATGATTCAGAGTCCAGTATATGACACAAATACCTCCTTATACAATTCTAAGTTCGGGCTCTTATTGCTTTTCTATGTAGTAGAAATACATGATTGTATTAAGATGTGTGTGCATTAACATATAACCTGTAAAGAGGTTTCTTCTTTATCTTAATTGAGTAAAAAGAAATGTCTTATCTCATTTACAGGCCACATGATTGTCATTAAGTGACTAGCTAGGATCAAGAATTAAGTTGGACAGGTCTTCTTACAGCCTTTTCATCAACAATAGGATTTCTAAGAAACAGAGCCTTAAGTGGCCCTCATCAGACACAGCCTTTAGAGGTTTGAACTTGAAAATGATTTTATATAAAAGTGTGGGTCTACACCAGAGGCAACACTAGTCACTCTTTAATTCCTGATCACTACCACCCACCCATCCTTAAGTGAGCCTGGGGAGAGGAAATAACCCATCATCTACAAGGAACAAAGCCAAGACATCCCACTATCAAAGCTTATATGAACAAAGGTCAACTAATTGCCCTATTCTCTACCAACAAGAATATAGCTAGTTTCTAATATATATCTGCAGACAGCAAAACATAAATTATTTTAAGTACTATATGAGCATGTAGCAACCTTCCACTCTTAGGCAAAAAATAGAAATTATGGTGCATAAATCCAGATTACTACATATAGTTTTGATCCAGAAAAATATTCCAAGCCATAAGTACACACTCACATACTATTTGGATAGCTGACCAAATAATGCCGTTCACAATGAAGATCATTCTACAATACAAAAGACTTGAGAAAGATTTGAATATGAAGTGACTTCTCTTTCCAGCAGCATAATCTGAGTGGGAAAATTCCTTATCTAATATTCAGGCATATATGTACATAAAATCACAAAGACTGAATTGAGAGACAGGAACATCTTTCCCAAATCCTGTATTTAGACCTGAGTTGCAAACCTCACAGTATAACGTGAACTAATACAGGAAAGATAAAAGAAAGTTCTCCTTCAGACACCACAGGACAAATGAAAAGGAAGTACTCCTGTAGACATCACAAAGTACTAATGGTACTCATATTCCTAAAGGATAATACAGAACAAAAGTTAAAATGACTTCAAAAACAGCTTAGCTGATTAATCAGTCACATATCCATAATGAATAACAAAAGTAACCCAAGAATTTAGGAGAGGCAGATCCCTGAGCAGATCCTAAGAAAATTTTACTGGACTTGAATAAGTTCAATGCTAAAATTATTAATTATCAGCAATTTCCTATACTACAGGAAATAGAGGGTATGGTGCCTCAGTTTGTTGTTCTCAATCCCAGATTCAGAGGACCAAGCTGAATTTCTTCCTCGGGGCTTCCGACTCTGTGGCTTTACATGAAGAGTCCCCACTTCATCCTTTCATGTAGGAAAAGAAACTGACCAGACATGAAATGGTCATAAAATCCACCCATTATTTCCCCTATTCAAATATCTTACTGGGGGGAATAATGGCAATTGGCCAAAAAAGGCAGGTAGACACATTCTGGATTTGCTAAAGCCAAGCATGACAGTTTCCCATGAACATTCAAGAGGAGGAGCTAGCCCTCATATCTATTCTCTCTAACCCAGGACACAGTAATAATTCTCAACAATAGGATTTCTAATCACAAATAGAGCCCTAGTGGCCCCCATCAGAGACAGTATTTAGTGGTACAAATGAACTTGAAAATAAACATTATATACAGGTGTTGGTCTACACCAGCACTATAGACTGGTCTCAAACTCCTGACTTCGTGGCAGCACTGGTGTAGACCAACACCTTTAAGCTCTGATCACTATCATCCACTCTTCCTTAAGTGACCCTGGGGAAAGGAGATAACCCGTCATCTGTAAGGAATACAGCCAAGATACCCTATTTTTCAGACATTATTCATCCAACAAATGTCTGGGGAATGAATTAGTATGTGAACTCCCCAATACTCCTTGTCAAACTTCCTACTGGGCTGATGGACAAAGGAGTACATCAGGATGGCATTTCTTAGAAATAAATAGATTTGATTCATATCCTCAAAAGATCAGGATGACAACTGCTGGGTTCTACTTTCCCTGTTCACCCACCATCACCTGGTTCTATCTTTCCATATATCCCAAATGTCAAGTTTAATATCTAAAACATCTTTCATCTGAATGTATGATTCGGCAAGAACTTTTCAAGACGATGCTGAATTCAGCAACATCCAAAAGCAGGCAAATTAGTGACTCCTGCTATTTCAGTGTTCCACAGATCAGTGGAGGTGAGTAGGAACTCCCTCAAATGGAAAATGTGGCCCCAAAAACCCTATCTTGGTATTTGTACCAGGTGCTGACAGCAAGCAAGAGTCCCCTTAGACCTAAACCTAGGTTACCACTCTCCCTCCTTCCACCATGTGCCTTTTCGTTAGGTCCTTGGTGACAGTGACAAAGCATCTAGTTTTGGGTTTTTGTCTTTCTTTTATAAATGAAGGCAAAAGCCTATATGATTATAGCTCAAATAATTTTAGAAACATTTGCTACATACTTGTGATGAGGCATGGGGAATAAAGTTAAATAGGAGTCTTGCTCTTCTCTCTGCCTGATTCTGTAAAGTGAGATGTTTAACTGAAGTGCCTAAGTGCTTTGAGATCATTAGAAGTATGAGCTGACCCAACCAGGTGACCCGTTTTCCTCCTTTCAGTAGAACAAAGGCCAGACACACTCATTTTACCATATTCATTGTACACTGAACTGTCAGTGCAAGGAGTACCAGTTGCCTCCAGGTCATGAAATAATACTAAAAACTTTATAATCATTCATTGATTTAGTTTTCAGCATACTATATCATTTGAATCCAATGGGAGCATAAAGAGCTATTTGTGAGGTCAACCACGGTACAGACAGATGCTGACATGCTATTGATGGCAAGGTGGAAAGAAATTGCTAAATACAGCAGATCAATACCTCGTTTCACTGTTACAGCCTTCTGCAGACATAAAATATATATCTTTACAGCTACAAAAATAATAATAATGAAAGTGGGAGATAAATGCTTCCCTCAAGGTAAACTATTTGATTAGCTAAGGGCAAAGGTGACAGCAGCAGTTACACTAAAGTAACTTCATAGTCTTAAATAAAAACAGGAGGAAGAGCAGTAGATGAAATGGCAAAATGAATCGGGACACATAGGTGGTTCAGACATAACTCTTTTAAAAAACACAGTGATAGGTAAAGAGCCACCAAAATCTATGATTTCTCCTATGGCTACAAATGCAGTTTCCTCAGATCTATTCTGTCATATGGTTTTACACAAAACATTTTTTTTTTTTTTTGAGGTGGCGTCTCACCCTGTCATCCAGGCTGGAGTGCAGTGGTGCAACCTCAGCTCACTACAACCTCCGCCTCCCGGGTTCAAGCGATTCTCCCGCCTCAGCTTCCCGAGTAGCTGGTATTATAAGCACACACCACCACACCCGGCTAATTTTTTGTATCTTTAGTAGAGACGGGGTTTCACCATGTTGGCCAGGCTGGTCTCAAACTCATGATCTTGTGATCCACCTGCCTCGTCCTCCCAAAGTGCTGGGACTACAGGCGTGAGTCACCACACCTAGCCTACACAAAACATTTTCTAAACAAAATATTTTCTACTGGTGATGGAGAGCAGATTAAGAGTTAAGGTTAAATAACTGTTCAGTAAAGTAAAAAAAAACAAAAAACAAAAAGCTTAACTTCCAATCTATACATGTTTCCATTTGACAAGAAATGCTGAGAGTCAACCACATTTGTAGCATCTTACTAGACACAAAAAACAAATTTATAGCAGTGTTGTCAGCCAGAGGGATCTTATAATCCCCATAGGGAAAAGAGAATTACTGTGTATAAAACACTACTATGTATAAGCAATCTCAAAATGTAAAATTTAATATGACCTAACGTCAACCACATACGGTACCATACACCAGTAAATGTACCATACACAAACTTACCGTTAGTATCATACTTTTTGACACAGGAAATAAAGTCGGTAAGGAAAGAGATGAATGGAATAATCCTCAAACGCTTCATGAAAGAGGAGGGACTGAAGAAAAGACCTCACAGTCTGGTGGATCATACAATCATTAAAATAGTTTTTATTTCTCAGATGAAACTCTTTTTGTAGATCTCCAAAGTTTGAGCTTATAAACAACCAAGCAGAATTTACCATCAATTATCTGAGATATGAAGTCTCCCAGTAATCTTTAAAAGCAGCGCAAAGGGTAAGTATCTCTGTTTTTTCAAAAAATTATACTTTTTCCGATTGAAATGAATGGTTTAAAAAAAATATGGGGTCAGAGGGTGACAGGAGCACATTGCACTGTCATAATGCTGAAATGTCAGTGGTTTGTGAAATCCTTCGGTGACCAATATTCGAAAAGAGAGTATGAAATACCTACCCAGAAAATACTATCACTCTGCATTTGGATAGTGGTTAGCAATTTTAAAACAACCTGTTAACCTAAGACTGACTTATATGATGACATTTATTTCCCCAAAGAACATGGGAACTCTCAGGTAAGTAAAAGAGACTTACTTGATACAATTATCACCCTTCCATAGCAATGAACAAAATAAACTAAAAATAAAAAATAAATCTCAGTGCAAGAGAAACAATGAAAATGTAATGTAACTGCAATTGAAAGGGAAGGAATAATCATACATTTATTTTTCATCCAATTGAGAAAAAAATTTTAAAAATATTAATAGCTGTTCTAAATGGTATAAAAATAGAAAATATTTTTTATCAATTTTATAATTTGTTATCAATCTAAATCAACTCCACTATTTTATTAGTCTATATACTTCGGGAACAGAGTATAATGTCTCTAGCCGCTCTTCTGCAGAGGAAATGAGACTGTGCCAAAAGGTTGACATCCTCAAGTTACGCATGTGCATTTCACCAGACTGTGTGTTGATGTAGCTGTCTAGGTCACCCCGAGTAAACTGGGAGAAGCAACGTGATTGGGGCAGGGCTCCTAAGTCTTGGTCCAATTGAGGATCACTTAGTACTTCATGTTTGAAAAGTAGGTCTCAGGCCAGGTGCAGTGGCTCATACCTGTAATCCTAGGACTTTGGGAGACCAAGGCAGGCAGATAGCTTGAGCCCAAGGGTTTGAAACCAGCCTGAGCAACATAGTGAGACCCAGTCTCTACAAAATGTACAAAAATTAGCCAGGCTTGGTGGCACAAACCTGTAGTCTCAGCTACTGAGGAGCCTGGGGTGGGAGGACTGCTTGAGCCTAGGAGGTCGAGGCTGCAGTAAGTTATGACTGTGCCACTGTACTCCAGCCTGGGTGACAGAGCAGGACCCAGGACTCTGTCTCAAAGAAAAAAAGAAAAAGAAAAAGAAAAGTACATCTCAGAAAACATCCAGTCAACAAATATTTACTGTATATCTGTCAACAAAGTTCTGTGCTAGATACTTCGGAAGACACAGATATATATATATCTTTTATATATATATAAAAGATATATATATATTTTATATATATAAAAGATATATATATATCTTTTTAAGTTTCTGTGTTCCTAATACAAAGAAATAATAAATGTTTGAGATGATTAAAATGCTAATTATCCTGATCTTATCACTATACACGATATGTATCAAAACATCACTATGTACTCCATGAATATGTACAATATTGTCTATTTCAAAATAAGTTTCTGTTCCTAAGAACTTGATAATTTCTACATGGTGGGGAGGGGGAGAAGTGGTGGATGAGATAAGAATGCTAAAAACCTATTTTAAATCATATTTATATCTACATAACATTGTTAGTATTCAAAGTTCTTTTACATTTATTATCTTATTGATGACATCTCAGATGAAGCAGGGAAGGGAGTTATTATCCCCATTTTACAGATGAAACATCACAGAGATTGGAGGACTCATACAAGGTAATACGTAGTAAGTGGCATATGTGAAACTCCAAGTTTAGCCTTCCAACTACTAGTGATGTGCACTGGTAGTTGGAATGTGAGACTACAAGTTTAGCCCTCCAACCACCAGTGATGTGCACTGGTAGTTGGAGAGCTAAACTTCCACTAACTATAGCAGGCTACTTACTATTTGTGTGGAGTGAAAGGGGAATGGGGGAATTCAGGGTATTCATTTAGGAAACATTAGTTCAGTACCTATTGTGTTCAAGACTCTGCGGACATTGGGGTACAAAGAAAAATAAAGTATAGTCTATATAACTAAGGTATGAGAAAGAAAATGAAAAAAATCATTAGAATACTGAATAAGTGCTACAAAAACATGCACAAATTGCTACAGAAACCAAAAAGATAAAACTATTTTAAGATTTTGAAATACTTTCCATATTAAACAAAAAAGAATAAAAATGAATAAGTAAGCATTCATCTCAAGATGTTGCCAAAAGAAGCTTAGGCAATGCAGGACAAAGAAAACAATAAAAACAAAGGTAGAAATTAATGAATTAGAGCATAAACAAATTCAAGAGCTTGTTTAAAAAAAAAAAAAAAAAACAGACTACCAGCAAATATAGTCAATTTTTAAAGAGAAGACAAGAATGTACAAAGTTATAATTTAAAAGAAGATGGAAAAAGTGAATATGGAATTTTTTAAATTATAAAACTATACACAATTCTACCCTAGTAAACCAGAGAATGTTATGCTCAATGCCATGTCAATAAATGTAAAACTCTCCCATTCTAAGATATAATGACCAAAATTTACTCAAGAAGAAAACTAAATAGACAATAGCCAGGCATGGTGGTGCACGCCTGTAATCCCAGCTACTCGGGGGGCTGAAGCAGGAGAACTGTTTGAGCCCGGGAGGCAGAGGCTGCAGTGAGCCTGGGTGACACAGCAAGACTCTGCTCAAAAAAAAAAAAAAAAAAAAAAGAAGAAGAAGAAAAAGAAGAAGAAGAAGTAAAGTTCAAACTTCCAACAGGCAAATAATCCTAATGCTTTGTAAATGGTTCCCAAGAAGACAGGGAGGAGGAAAACTCTGCAAGTCATTTTATGATACTAGCATAATACGATACCAAATTTGACAAAAGAAAGCACAAAAAGGAGTTTCTCAATATTTTTATTCACTTTACCTTCTTCTACTGTGATCTTATCCCCATCAGCCAAAAATGCTTTATTAGGCTTTACAAACTGTAGCTTGAATTATGTTCAACATGTATGTTATATATGCCCCATTCAAAGATTCTGATATACCCTCAACCCCTGGAGTACCACTCTGCGGTTTCCATAAGAATCCCTGATACTGACCCATCTTACTTTCCTAATTGAAATATACTAAAATGTTGAATTCAGCAATATATTAAAAGACCTATATAATATAACCAAGTAGGCTTTATCCCAAGGAACCATTATTAGAAAGTCTAATAAATTACATTTTATCAGTAGAAGTAAAGATACTACCATCTAAAGAGATGTCCAAAAAATGTTCCTAAAATTCAATAAAATTCAACCTCAGTCCCTGAAAAAAACAAAGTAAGAATCAAAGATAACTGCCAACAACTACCACTTTACTTAATACTAGAATCCCGAAGTATAACTGTTGAAGACATGACTATCTGCTATAACCACTACCAACTGGAGGTTCTAGACAAGGTAATAATAGAAGAAAAAAAAAGGAGAGGAGAGTATAATTACTGAAAGAGGAAAAAACAAATTATATTTGCAGATAAGTAGATTATCAACCTCGTAAATATCCAGAAAACCCAAGAAAATCATCCAAAACTATTAGAATGATAAGAATGCATTCTGTATTGTGGCCAAATACAAAAATAGCAAACACATAAAAAACTTTCTTAAGTATCATTTAAAAAACACAATTTTTAAATATCCCATTTTCAATAGTAACCAAAAAATAGTAATCAAAAATATAAAATACCCACGTATTTTACATAAAGTAATAAATGGTGCCCAATTGAACAAAATTACAAAGCTTTCTGAAGATCATAAAACTTAAATAAATGTAGAGACAGATAATTATTGAATGAGAAAAATGATTTACCACAAATATTTCAGTTATTTCCAAATTAATGTATAAATTTAATGCAATAACAATTAAAATACCAAAAGACTGGTGGGGCACATGGGGGACCTTGAAAAGGTGATTTTTAAATTTACCTGGGAAAAAATTTAGGTTGTCTTCTCAAAGCAAGAGATGAGCCACAGAATTTTTGAAAGTAAAGACTAATTATAGGGGCCTCATGCTGCCAAATTTAGAAAGATATTATAAATCGATGGCAATTAAAATGATGTGTCAAAGTAAAAACAAACAGGATAAAAAGCAGATCTGATTATTTAAGCATTCAAATCAGTACGTAAAAGATAAGTCAATAAATGCAGGCAGCGATATCTGATTGGCCTTGGGGAAGAAAAATTTCCACATCTACTCCATACCATAACACCAACTAAATTCTAGACACATTTTAACAATTACATGAAAAAAACATAAAATATTAATAACCAGAAGAATGCATGACTGTTAATCTAATACTGACAGGGAAAATGTTTTTCTAATTAAAAACAAAGGAAAACTTTTGAATAACAAAAATATAAAAGTCAGGCAATAAACAAACTGGAAAAATATTTCTATCACATGATTAGTAAATAACATCCCTAATCTACAAAATATTTTTCCAAATCAGTAAGAAAAGACGAACACGTTAGCAAAATGAACAAAGCCTATATGAATAAACAAATCACAAAAGAACTATATTTGGCCAATATAAATGGTGGGAGGAAATTCAACCAAATATAATAATTAGGAAAATACAAATTAGTTCTACAAGTTCCTACTTCTCCTCCAAATCAGCAAACATTTTTGTTTTCTGATAATTCCCAGTGTTAGAGTGGATGTACCAATAAGCATTCTGACATATTGCTTCTTTAAATTGGAAACTGGCATTACCTCCCCAGGTGGCAACTTGACAATGAGAACCAAAAATCTTAACAAAAGTTAGCCCATACAATTCTCCTTTTAATTTACCCTATGAAACATTCCAAAGATTTGCAGAGATTTATGTACAAGAATGTTCACTAAAGGATAACCTATGATAGGATGGAAAAAAATCCATAAAATACTATACAATTGGAATTATATGAAAAAAATATAATATACTGGATGGTAAAAAAAAGCAGAGTAAAAAATATGCAAGTTATCTTTCTAATTTTTGTTTAAAATATATCTTATATAAATATAGATCATAAATATATTTAAAATTAGTCATACTGTATATATTATATATAAGCATAATAACAATATTCTAAGCAATACACTAATATAAAGTAACAGTATTTATCTCTGAAGAGTATGAGACTTTTTTCTGCCTCATATTTTTCCATATTTGTTAGTTTTTCTAAAATAAAAAATTATTATGTAATCAGAAAAAAAATTTCATTAAGAAATTTAAGAAATGCTTCTCTATCTCACATACCATATACTTATATATACAGTGTGGTTCTATATTTACGAAGCTGACTTTCATAAGCTACATATGAAAAATAATTTCATTAATAGTCACACGCATAATAATAATAACCTTATATAGCACTTACCCCAACAATATTCTAAATGCTTTACATATATTAAATCATTTAATCTTCACAACTATTATGATCCCCATTTTACAGATGAAGATTGAGGCTCAAGGAGAATAGGTGACTTGCCCAAGATCACTCAGCCAGTAAATAGAGCTAAAGGATTCCACGTTCTTAACCACCACAGGCTACAGTTTCTCCTCATAAACTATACTCTAAAGCAATAAGACTGATTTATACATAAATGCCAGAACATAAACAACATAAGCACTATCTCCTTTCAAGTAGCCTCCTTGGGAAACTCTATACATATCCAAAGATGTGATCATTGATCAAAACATTTTTGGAAAACTTTCCTTTGACTATCCCCCTAGGGTGGTAAACATGTCTCCAGTGAGGAAGGAAGAGATTTCTTTCAAACAGCTACGAGTCATTCAGAAACAAGTCTCAAAGTGGATGTCAGAATTCTGCTTTTGATAACACAGCAAAAAAAACCAATGAGGCTGATTTTACTATTGCGCCCATGCTCCCAAGAAGTACACATTCACAGTAGACTAGTATTTACTATACTGCATTATTATAATTATTTGTTTACATGCCTGTCTTCCTCCTAAACTGAGGTCCTCAATAGCAAAGATTATATCTTACACTTCCTCAAGTCTCCAGCCTGTAATCCAAGTCCTGGTACACAAAGGGTACACTAATTAAGTATTTCTGAATGAACTCTACAGAGAATGTCACACAAATGCTTTCAGCTATAACAACATATTAGAATAAATATACTGCCAAGAGGGCACCTGAGTCTATATACAAATAAACATATAAGGTATGTGGAAAGAGATTATAATGAAAAAAATGGGAATTTTACAAAGTTCCCAAAATTCCAAATATTCAGGAAGATAGAAATCAGTTTTTAATGGGTCTTCTCATAATAATGTTTAGCTGTAGTCATTTCTCACAAGACATAAGAGGCGGAGCGGATATGCCTCATTGTCTGAAAAGCAATCTACTGAACCAAGGATGCAGAAATAAACATAAACTTTCTCAGACAACGATGCAAAAACACATCTGCTCCACAGAAGACACCAAGATGCATCCTGCCTATGGGTTCAATCGACAAACCACAACCTGGTGCCTGAAGTATAAATCAAAGAACCTTACATCCCTGGTACTTATTGACATTTGCTACCTGCAAATTTCTAATATGTGCAAGATGGGCCTATTTTTATTTACAGCACAAACCGCAGACTGAATGTAAAACAAGATGCTTAATAAATCCAGAGGAACATAAAACACCAGCATAACTCAGCAAGACAGACACTCACTCCTTAATTAAGTGGGTGATGTTCTGTTTAAAACAAAAAGACAACCCTGGGCTATAGCTAAGATTAAGCACTCAGTGTTGCAAGGGAAAAGCCAACCATTTTCAGGGCAAAGCCTTTAAATCATGAAAAATAAAGCATCTAATAGTCCGTATTCAATAGTAAGTAGACAGTCAGGACACAGACTGATTTGGATTAACACATTTTCAGTTATAAAAAGTAATTTTACAGAGGATTAGTATCTTGATGGTCTGATCAATATGAGGCACCGCTGCTATTACATATGAAGAGAAAATTGCCCCTCTGGTAATAAAGTGTGCGTGTCTTCGTTCTCCTTCATTTGCTGAGTCCATTACTGTAATGGTTCCAGCATTAACAGCTGGGGCAATTTAAGCAGCAGGGGTCTGATGATTTTAAAAGCTGGGAACACTGGCTACTCATCCTTTCCTCCCTTGCAGTCTGCATATGCAACTCCTCTGCCTGGCTGTGGTTCCAACACAAGGATCGTGTTTTATGAGAACAATGACTACTATTTCCCAATTATTGTCTCATTAATAGTGTTACCAGCCAATAATGTAACTAAAACAAAAATGGCTCGCAGCATATTGGCTGCTGATTTGGTGAAAAATTGCACACTATTTACCTAAATAACAAGATTGACATGACAACAGGCTAGAGTCCACATAAACTGTAATGTTTGCATTCATTTGCCCGGTGCTATTCTCATATTCTTAAGCCCAAAAAATGCTGTTGTGCTGACAGACAAAAAAAAAATTTCATCAGCAGAATTTTCCATCTTTGTTTTCAAAAAATGGCAAACTGGAAAATAGTGAGATAATGGACGGCTGTACATAGAAATAGAAAATCCATATTAATGCAGCCTTGAGACTTTAATCATGCCCAATTCAGCAGAGTGAGTTAAGGTTGCAACATCAGCCCATTTTATATTATTACTGGAGAAATGCTGGCCCTTGAGGCTCAGCCTTGAATGATCCAATCACTAAATGAAGGTGCCAAAGGGCAGACTTAGGGCTAATGCAGAAATCAGAGCTCTGAATTTTCTGATCACAAACAATTATGAAAACACTCATGCTCTGGCAACAAATCTCCTCCTCAGAGCAGCTGCAACATAATTTGGTCCTTCAAACTGAATTTTCTACTTGGTTTCTACCAGTTGTAAAGGTCTTAACTGCCCTTTATCCATATGGCAGTTTTTTAACATAAGGGGAGGCATGGTTATCTTGTAAGCAGGTCATTTCCAAAACTACAGAGTAAATAAATGATCAGCATAGCAACAGGACAGATGCTTATAGCAAAAACAAAAATGTACGTCTAATAGTCAAACTCATAGAATCAGAGAGTAGAAAGATGATGACCAGGGCTGGGAGGATGGGAAAGAGCTAATCAAGCGGCATAAAGTTTCAATTATACAAGATGAATCAGTGCCAGAGATCTGCTATACAACATTGTACCTACAGTTTACAATACTTTATTGTACACTTAAAAATGTGGTAAGAGAGTAGATCTTATGTTGTGTTCTTACCATAATAAAATACATTTTTTTAAATGCAAACCATGGCACCAATTCAAGGTTTAACTTTCAAACATGTGATGGCTTAACAAAGAGCATGCCAAGGACAAACGTTTGGAAACAAGCCCCTACCAACACAAATCTTCATCTCTTGAACCTGTTCTAATCCAACCCAAGGAATCCTAAGAATCCTCCCAGTTTACATTGTGAAATCAACCAGTGAGACAATTTTATAAAATATTACAAAACCAGTTTATAATAGAAGAGTAAATGAATGTGCTTAGCAGAACTCTAAATTCACCTTCTCTAAGGTGTGTTTTTCATTAAGGTTCCAAAAGTACCACCTTAACAAAAGTTCCTCTCCTCTAGAAGTTAGAAAGTCACACTTTAAATATAACTTTAGCAAGAAAACTGCCATAATAAACTAACAACAACAAAATACTCTAAATCTGAAAGGTAAACTGGCATTTTAAAATTGGAAGAGAACACTTGAAAACAAGTGTTGACAGTTGCTAAAGTATGTGTTGAACAGAAGAGTCTTGTTTCTCAAAATTAATGCCCACACCTATGGTATATTAATTTAAAATTCATAAGGTACTTAACCATTTTCCATTACTTCTTTCAAATTCCGGTTCCATCTCTCACTATTAGAAAGTCTACTGACCAATAACAAGTGATGCTCTTGGGAATTCATTCATTCATTGTTTGACAAGTATGGAATATCTACCATGTGTCTGGCAAAATCTTAAGGGCTAGGGATAAAATGGTGAATGACAAAACGGAAAAAAAAAAAAAAACATGATCTCTACTTTTTTGGAGACTATCATCTACATGCCAAAATCTGTATCACTAAACTCAGCCACAGTAAATCTCATTAGCAGCCAAGGATCCAGAATCATAATTATGAAGGGTCACATATATCACATAACAGATGCTGGACTCTCTCAACCATTTAATCTTTCTTCACCAGATACTTATTAATGTCTCCTTTGTGGAAGACATCCTGCCAGGTACAATGGAGAGATGAAAAGATGAATTAGACACAAATGCTATCTTCAAGGAAGCTACTGTTTGCTCAAAGTGTCTAAGAGTTTTTTTGAATGGCTAATTTAGTTTTCAAAACCAGTACTAGGAGGGTTAGGAAACAGCCTGGAAATAACAGAAAGCAACAAGAACTCACTGTTACTCGATAGTTTAGCTGGTTAATTTTCAAGTAAGGTACAGTATTAAAAGTGGTTTGGAAACTATGATCAAATACACTAACTCTTCTTCTATTTACAGAAGTCAACTAAACCTCCGAAACAGTGATTAAAGGCTTACCCATATATTGAAGGAGAGATTAAGCAAAAAATAATAATGGATTTCGGGAAGAAGGAAAAAAAACAGAGTAGAATCTGTCAGGTGAGGTTTTCATTTTTCAAGTCCCCTGGTCTTTGGCCTAACACCAAAACTGTCCTATATTTAGTGTCCACTTTAGATAAACTGGTGACATAATCTAGAATGGCCCATAATAAAAGTAGACTCCAAAAGAACCTTCTCAGGACCTCAATAAAATGCCAAATTTGAAATATAAAATAAGGTAAAAATACCCAGTCAGTAAAAACATAAATAACAAACTTTCTTTTGTTGAGTTATTGTTATTATTATTTAGAGACAGGGTCTCACTCTGTTGCCCAGCCTGGAGTGCAGTGGCATAATCACAGCTCACTGTAACCTCCAACTCCTGGTCTCAAGTGAGCCTCCTCCACCTTGGCCTCACAAAGCATTGGGATTACAGGTATAAGCCACTGCATTTGGCCAAGTTATTATTTTTATAACTCAATAAACCTTATCATTTAAAGTTGATAAGACAACTATCACCAAAAGCAGAAGAGTTTTTAAATCATGTTACTTAAAACGGTAGGTTACATATTCTGGATATTTTCCTTCATTGATAAAAATGTACATTACTCAAACAAAATTATTAAATGTTCTTAGGTATATAACCATTTCCATAATAAACTAGTTCTATTTTTAATAGTTTAAAAGATTATCTAACCTAAGCCAGCATAAGAGTCTTTGAAGCTAACTTGGATTTCAACATCCATAGCTTTTTATTCCATGACTAATGAAACAGTTTTAATGTTTCTGAAAAACCCCGTAAGGAATCCCAGGCCTCTCATAAGGATACACCTTTAAACAGATCTTCTAAGGAAGGAATTCCATGACTACTAGGCCATGTTAGATCCTCTTTGCTACCGTGTCCTCCCGTGATAAAACTCACCACTCTGCTGTTGGTACTTACTTACCTTCCATGGACAGCCAGCCAGTTCCATGGGACTGTGTCTGCCATCTTTACCCTGGTGCTGAGTACACTACTCGACACTTAATCAGGTTCCTTATCTGAACCACAGAACACAGAAAATGGTTTGAGTGACTATATTCTCAATTTTCTGAAAGGTGGTACAAAACTAGTACCATTCTGGCTGCATGGGAAATAAGTTAATGGAACCCCATTTGAGAAAATCCACTTGACTAGACACTCAACATAAGTTTACAGAATAAACGTCCTGGGATCAGAATACATATATATATATATACATACAGAATATATATCTACTGGGGTCAGATAGGCAGTAGTGAAGGTGGTGGTGATGATGGTGATAATGATGATGATAACAATGTTTATTTTTACTGTATGCCAGCAATGTTTTATGTGCTATATAATATCTCAATCCCTACCAGAACCATATCACTCCTATTTGATAGATGAGGAAATGGAGGCTCAGAGAAGTTAAATTGCTTGCGCAAGTAAATGAGGGAGCAGAATTCAATCTCAGGAGTCTGCATCTAAAGCTCCACACTACACCACTATATTGTAACTTAAGGGGCAAAACTGGATGACAGCAAAATGGAAAGCACATTTCCCACCTAAAAGGGAAGCCACTATTCAATTCTAGTTAGGAAAATGCATGCCCACTGTTACCAGATACTTAAGTTTTTCAAGAGAGTCAGACACCCAGATCTTTATGTGAAATCCCTCAACTTTTAAATATTAGAAAATAATTCTGAAACAACTTTTAGTTTGTTTGGGCCAAATAAAACTTACCTACAGCCAGGAGGCATATGTGGATTATAAATATGTGACCTCTAGAGGCCCCATCTTTCCTCAAAAATATACATGCAAAAATGCAAAATCTGGGCTGCGCACGGTGGCTCACGCCTGTAATCCCAACGCTTTGGGAGGCCGAGGCAGGTGAATCACGAGGTCAGGAGTTCGAGATCAGGCTGGCCAACATGGTGAAACCCATCTCTACTAAAAATACAAAAATTAGCTGGGTGTGGTGGCACGTGTCTGTAGTCTGAGCTACTCAGGAGGCTGAGGCAGAAGAATCGCTTGAACTCGGGAGGTGGAGGTTGCAGTGAGCTGAGATCGCGCCACTGCACTCCAGCCTGGGCAACAGAGCGAGACTTGGTCTCAAAAAAAAAAAAAAAAAGGCAAAATCTGAATCTAATCATAAGGAAACATAAGACAAATAAGAATACAGGGCCATTCTACAAAAAAATTAAATAAATAAATAAATAAATAAATAAAAGATAGCTTGCACACATCACAAATGTCAATGTCTTGAAAGAAAAAGGATGAGGAACCAATTTAAAGGACATGAAAGGACACCAGATTAAAGGAGAAGAGACCAAAGGGACCTGACAATGAAAGGTAATATGCAATCCAGATGGAACCTGGACCAGGAAAAAAATGCTATAAAATTCATTATTAGGACAATTAGCAAAATTTGAATATGGACTTTGGATGAAATAATAGCATTATATCAATGTTAACTTTTTCTGAAATTAACAATTGATTGTGTTTATATTTGTATGCAAGAGAATGTCCATGTTCTTAGGAAATATATGCTGAACTATTTAGGGGTAAAGAGGACTGATGTCTCCGACTTACTCTGCAATGGTTCATTAAAAAAATTGTTCATGTGGATATATATGGCGAGAAAGAGAGCAATAAAGTGAACACAGCAAGATGTTAACCTGTGAATATGGACAAACAGGTCTATGAGAGCTCTAGGTTCTACTCTTGCTCTTCAATAAGTTTTAAATCATTTCAAAATAATAAATTATAACATCTGGGAAAAAATGCATAGGGCCAGCCCCACCCCAGCAGAGGACCCCTCAGGCCACCAAACTCAATCAAGGGCATGCTACTCTACCCCTGGAATAGTAGCTAGACCTCATCACACTGGGTCCTCACACCAACCCACAGAAGCAGCTATTCTTAACCTCATTAATGACTGGAGAAACTGAGGCACGGGGTATGAATCCCCTATCCCTACAGTAAGGAAATAGTAGACGCCATGGTTCTAACTCAAACCATCAAATACTTATCTGGACTGTTCTATTATATGCCTTAGAAGAAAAGTTCATTTTAAAAATGCATGAATACCGTATAGTATTCTCATGTGCTTAACACAAATTAAATAAATGTTAATCGTAGAAAGCTATGTGGTCCAACCTTCTTATTCACCCTCCAGACTTGGAAACAGCATAAAAGTCCATAGCATAAGCAATCACAAGAGAGAAAATATGATCTAAGTTATTTCAAAGAGAAAAGAAAAATAAAAACTAAGTGCCCATTATGGGGATGACAAAGTTTAATTTAAAAAGCAAAAAAGAAATCTTTGTGACTTTGGGATAAAGACTGCATAGATATGACACAAAAAGCATGAATCATAAAAATAAACATTGATAAAGTGGACCTTTCTTAAAAACTATTAAGTAACCTAGATGAATGGAAGATAATGTTTGCAACACACATAGTAAACAAAGGATTTATATCTAGAAAATATAAAGAACTCATAAAACTTAATAATAGGAACACAAACAATCCAACAAAAAAATGGGCAAAGATTTTGAACAGACACTTCACAAAAGAAGATATACACATGTCCAATAAGCACATGAGAAGATGCATAACATTATTACCCATCAGAGAAATGCAAATCAAACCACAATGAGATACTACTTCACACCCACTATAACGGCTACAATAGAAAAGACAGACAACAACAAGTGTTGACAAGGATGTGACAAAATTGTAACCCTCAAAATGGCTGATGGGAAATGTAAAATGGTGTAGCCACACAAGTAAACAGTTTGTCAGTTTCTTAAAATGTTAAACATAGATTTACCATAAGTCCTGTAATTCCACTCCTAAGTATCTACCAAAGAGGAATGAAAACACGTCCACACAAAAACTAGGGTGCAAATGTTCACAGTAGCATTTTCCATAATAGTCAAAATGTAGAAACAAATCAAATGTCCATCAACTGGTGAACAGATAAACAAAATATGGTATATCCTGACACTGGAATTCTTTTTTTTTTTTTGAGACACAGTCTCACTCTGTCACCCAGGCTGGAATGCAGTGGCACAATCTGGGCTCTCTGCAACCTCTGCCTTCCAGGTTAGGTGATTCTCATGCCTCAGCCTCCCGAGTAGCTAGAATTACAGGCATGTGCCACCACTCCTGGCTAATTTTAGTATTTTTAGTAGAGACAGGGTTTCACCATGTTGGCCAGGCTGGTCTTGATCTAAGTTATCCTGACCTCAGGTGATCCACCTGCCTTGGCCTCCCAAAGTGCTGGGATTACAGGCATGAGCCACCATGCTCGGCCTGACACTGGAATTCTATCCACTGTGTAATAAAAAGGAACAAAGTACCAATATATGCTACAACATGGATGAACCTCAAAAACATCCTGGGTGAAAGAAGACCACATATTGTATGAGTCCATCTATATAAAAATGTCCAGAAAAGGCAAATCTAAAGAACAGAGTAGATTCGTGGTTCCCTAGGGAGGAAGTAGAATTGAGAAATAACTGCAAATGAATACAAAGTTTCTTCTGGAATGGAACTGTTCTAAAATAAGACGGTGGTGACAGTTACACGACTCTGCAAATATGCTACCAACCATTGAGTCCTACACTGAAAACAGGTGAATTTTATGGTATGTAAATTATACCTCACTCAATAAAGATTTACAAAAAGAGAGATATGCAACCTCATTAGTCATCACTGAAATGCAAATTAAAATCAAATATCACTGCACACCTACTAGAATGGTTAAAATGTAAAAGACTGACAAGCGATGAAAAGATATGAAACAAGTAGAACTCTCATTTTACATTCCTACTAACAGTTGGTAGGAATGTAAAAGGGTGCAGTGCATTTGAATATTGTTCCCCAAAAAGATATGTCCGAATCCAAAAACCCGGCACGTGTGAATGTAACCTTATTTGGAAAAAGTGTCCTTGCAAATGTAATTAAGTTGAGGCTCTTAAGGATCTCAGGATCATCCTGGATTTAGGACGGGTCCTAATCCAATGACTGGCATCCTTTTAACAGAAAGGAGAGAGAGATTTGAGACACAGAAACAGAGAGAAGGCCATGTGAAGATGGAAGCAGAGAAGTTATGAAGTGATGCTACCACAAGCCAAGGAACACCAGGGACACTAGAAGCTGGAAGAGGCAAGGAAGGAGTTTCCCCTAGAGTCCTTCAAAGGGAGTATGGCCCTATTGATGCCTTGATTTCAATGCCTCATCTCCAGAACTGTAAGATAATAAATTTCTGTTGTTTTAAGCCACCAAGTTTGTGGTAACTTGTTGCAGCAGCCATAAGAAACTAAAACAAATGGTCAAATCACTTCGGAAAACTGGTAATTTCTTCATAAGGTTAAACAAAGAACTCCCCTATAACTAAGCAATTCTACTCCTGGGCATTACCCGACAGAAATAAAAATGTAAAGACTCTTAGGTGAATGGTCATAGCAGCTTTTTTTGACAGAAATGAAAATGGAAAGACTCATACATGAATGGTAAAAACAGCTTTTTTCATAAGAGTCCAAAACCAGAAACAATCCTAATGTCCAGCAACAAGTGAATGAATAAACAACATGTGGTATCTCCATACAGTGGGCCACTAATTTGCGATAAAAAGGAACAAATTATGGATACATACAACAACATGGATTAATCTCAAAAACCATTATGCTGGCCAGGCACAGTGGCTCACGCCTATAATCCCAGTACTTTGGGTAGCAGAGGCAGGAGGACGGCTTCAGCCCAGGAGTTCCAGACCAACTTGGGCAACACAGCAAGACACCATCTCTATTTTGAAAAAAAAATCATTACGCTGAATGAAAAAAAGACCCAAAAGTATACACTGTATGCTTCCATTTATATGAAATCTAGAAAATACAGATGCATCTACAGAGACAAAAAACATATCAGTGGTTGTTTGGGGGCCAAGGTGGAGGGACAGACTAACCACAAATTAACGAGAGGGAACTTAGGAGAGAAATGTTCGCTATGCCAACTGTGGTGGTTTTGCAGGTATATACATTTGTCAAAAGGCATCAAATTGTACACAAAAATGGTTGCAAATGACTGTATGTAAATTATACCTCAATAAAATTGATTAGAAAAAGAGAAGATAATTCATGAGCCATTGGACACTTTACATTTAAGATTTAAAACAACTACTTATACTTTGTTCTAACAAATAATATTAAGCAAACAAATTTTAAATGAACAGCCAATTTTTTAAAGAAAAAAGGAAGACAATTTGCTCTACTAATTCAACATGTTTCACAAGCAGAAAATGGGAAAAGCCTTGAATTTGGAGTCAGAAGACCTGGCTCAGAGCACTAGTTTCACCTAGCAACCAAGTGGCCTTGGGCAAGTCACGATTTACCTACAAGTCTCAGTTTCTAAATCTCTAAAATATGGATGACACTAGTAACTCCCTCACAGGCAATGGTTATGGTTTCAATAGAGTAAGAGCTTCTTTGGTGCAGTGATTCTATTTCAGCCAAAATTATAATCCCAACTTATGGCAAATAATAGGTGCTCAACAAATCTTCACAGAATAAATGAAATACTTTAAAAATAAACCTGAAAGATGAGAAAGACATCATGCACAACACCATGAGGTGACATTTGTTTCTTTGCACTGTGTAGACTAAAGCAGAAGGGTCGCCCTCTTTGTGCTTATCTTTAATATATTATCCACATCATATGCAGACTCAAGCATGAAAACTTCTGGTCCCTTACGAAATACTGCAATAACTCAGGTCAATATAGAGCAGATTTTATATTTTAAATCCTTAGGTGTATTGCCCTAAACAGACTCACGTGTAAGATGAAATTCTATGAAAGCAAGAACTGTGTCTACGTTATTTAACACTGTTATTCACTGCCAATATTTGCCTAACATAGAGTAGGCAGCAAATGACATGTGCAAAGGCCCTGAAGCCCGATAAAGTATAGTGAAGAGTGACTTTTAAGAAGGCCAAAGTGACTGGTAGGCAGAGAGCAGAGTGTCATATCCAATGGGGTTGTGAAAGCAGGTAGGGTCCAGATCATGCAGGATCTTGTAGGCAATGTGAAGTTTTGCCTTTATCCTAAGAGCAACAGAAAGCCATGGAATATTTTTAAACAGGTGGTTGGCAGAGTAAGGAGAAAGGAAAGGGACATAATTATATTTGCATTTCACGAAGATCTTACTCTATGGTGTGCAGAAGAGAATGGTAGTTGAGGGAAGGGAGAGAAGGTGGAAGAAGAGTTAAGTTAGGGTGTAGAGTGAGTGTAGGCCAATCAATAGGCTATTCCAACAGTCTATTAAAAAGATAATGGTAGCTTGGTCCAAGGTAGTGGAGATGAAAAAAAAAAAAAGTGGGCATATTCCCAATATACGTAGACAAATCAACAGGATCTGAGTTTGGGAATGAGAGAAAGGAAAACACTCAATGCTTCTGAGCCTCAGTTCTTCATCTGTGAAGCTGGGCTGTTATTTATACTCCATCTGTATAATATCTATCTTGCAATCTGCTGTGACAATGATATGAAATAATTTAAATATTATGCACTTAATACAGTGCCTGACCCACAATAAATGCTTTTTAAAATCTCTGTTGCCATTATTATGGTCATCCCATGGAATGGCAACTACCAGAAGCTGAACATCAAAGGTAGAGAGGAGCAATGTAGTTAAAGATTCATATCCACAGCGCTAAAAGACACAAACTGTTATCAGCCGGTCACGGAGACAATTGTTCCAAAGAAACACAGCTGACTGCACAGATATTTCATCTAAGCCGATCTCAGTCCTCAGAGACCATTATGAGAAAGCACAGCTGGTATGATCACAGTCATCTGAGAATCCGGTAAACTGAGGCACAGGGATGGCGACAAATTTAACCAAGGAATAGATGCAGAAGAAGGACAAGGAAATGGGTATCTTGCTTCTCATTTTTGAGCCGATCCAACAAGACTCGGCCTGCATCCTGAAGAGCACGAATTTGTAACATCCCCTCTAATATCTCCAGGTCCCTTGCTGACAAGGCCCTGTCATCCCTTAGTTTAACACCGCGCATCCGCTCGCCATCAAACCAAGCCCTTCCGGTTCCCTGATCCTTGCTCACAGCGCACGAAGATCTCCAGGCCCCGGGAGCCCGACATACCTTAGCTTCGCGCTCTCGTTCCTCGGCAGTCGGGGTGCGCTTCATGCTGCCACTAAAGCCGCCTTCGCCACCGCAAGCTGCGTAGATCCCTCGCCCTGGACCCCGCCTCCTGCATGTAGTTCTCTCAGCGTCCTGCTCCCGTCTGGAGCTATTCTCCCTCTGAGTAGAAAAAACTACAACTCCCAGGATGCACCGCGGCGACACCCGCGAGCGCCACGGGATTTAGCACAGGAGAATTTCCCAGGTCCGACAGCTGGAAGAGCGTAGTCCGCTACCCCGCGAGCAAACAGGCTAGAGTCCAAGGAGAACTACATTTCCCAGGAGGCTACGGGAGCCTGCCATGTTTCTCCCGTGCTCCTCTCGGCCAGCCGCCCGCCACGCTGTCGGCGCTATAGCAACGGTAGCTAGCTGCAGGGCCAGTGGCACGGTGAGTACCCGGGAGGATGGGGGAGGATGAGGGTGGGTGGAGGTTGCTGACCCTCCCCACTGCAGCGCGGGCCGGGGTCCTAGGGTCCGCTCTGCCGCCTGGAGAAGGCCCTGGAGTTGGCCCTGGAGTTCTGCTGGCGTGAAAGCAGCCCAGCCCAAGACACCTCCACATCCTCAGGCCTGAATCACAGGCCGCCCTTTATCCCCACGTCCAGGACCAATTTGAAATGTTATATCCCAGCCATGAAGGTGAGAGTTGATGCTGCTAATTGCCATCTCTATCCAGATCCTGCAAGTTGTAGGTCCCTAACACAGTTTGCTCATTTGCCCTGGATTAGGAGTTGGTTGGTAGACCCTAAACCTCCTGAGTGGTCTATTGTTTGCTTAATTATATATTATTTGTTTATCATGTGATTACCTCCATAACTTGCTAGCTTCATAAAGGCGGGGGTTTTGCTTGCCATTTTAATCTCAGTACCTGATATTCATTTATTCATTCAATAAATATTTTTTCTTTATTCTTTTTTTTGTGTGTGTGACAGGTTCTTGCTCCGTTGCCCAGGCTGGAGTGCAGTGGTAAGACCTCAGCTTACTGCAAACTCCTCCTCCCAGGTTCAAGCGATTCTTCTGCCTCAGCCTCCCGAGTAGCTGGGATTACAGGCGTGTGCCACCACACCCAGCTAATTTTTGTATTTTTAGTAGAGACAGGGTTTCATCATGTTGGCCAGGCTGGTCTCGAACTCCTGGCCTGAAGTCAGCCGCCCGTCTCGGCCTCGCAAAGTGCTGGGATTACAGGTGTGAGCCACCACGCACAGCCAATCATTCAATAAATATTAATGTTGGTTCCCACCCTGTACCAGGCACTGTTCCTGAACAGTTGTGAACAAGACTAATACCCGTCTCAAGATGTTTATCCTTTTTTAGTGGAGACAAACAATAATTTTATCTGATAACTTCAGATAGAGGCAGTTGCTATAAGAGATACAAGCCATGCTTGGTGGCACGCACATGTAGTTCCAGCTACTCGGGAGGCTGAGGTGGGAGGATCACTTGAACCCATGAATTCAAGGCCAGCCCGGGCAACATAGCAAGACCCTGTCTCAAAAAAAAAAAAAAGAAAAGAAAAGAAATAAACAGTGAAGAAATGTAAGGAAGACTACTCTAACATAGGATGGTCAGGGAAAACCTGTCTGAGGAAGTGAACTGAGCTCCAAAGATTAAGGAACCAGCTAATACAAAGGCCTTGAGCAAGACAAGGGTATGGGGGGTTCGAGGAAAGTAAAGAATAATGTAAGTGAAGCATAGTGAGCAAAGAAGGATAACATAAGATGGTGTTGGAGAGGCATTGCAGCATTGTGCAGGGTTTTTCAGCTTCTACACTATTATTAACATTTTGGGCTGGATAATTCATTATTATGTCTCCTAAGCACTGTAAGATATTTAGCATCATCCATGGCCTCTACTCACTAGATGCCAGTAGCATCCCGCTTCCTTGTTGTGACAACCAAAAATATCACCAGACACAACTATTAATACTTTCAACTACCACCTTAAGTGAGTTAACTAATCTGTGTCTCAGCTTCCTCATTTGTAAAGCAGGAATCATTTGAGTAACAGCCTCACAAGGATATGGTGAGACACTTCATTCCTATAACAGAACACTTAGAACAGTACCTGGCACATAGTAAGCGTTCAATGAATGTTAACACCATCATCATCATCATCATCATTATTATTTTTAAAGTGACCTTAACTCTGTCATGGAAAACTAATCATTTTCATACACGGGCCTATGTGTCAACAGGATCCTAAAAATTGACCTTTTCTATAGGAGTACTTCCAAAAGAAGTAGATGATCTCCCAAGGATTTGTCTGTTAGCTGTTTCTGTAAAAGCAAAATGCAATGGTTCTCCACCATTTGCGAGTTGTAATAAAAGTTATGAACCCTCTTTAAAAGATATTGCATATATACATATACATACAAAATTTGGTAAACCATCTCTGGGTTCACAGACCCTGAAACCCCATGGACTCCATTCACTCACTCAACAACTATTTAATGAATGCCTGCTCTCAGAATGCACCACGCTCTATGCTAGCCTCCAAGAATACAGAGCTGAACAAGACAATGAAGCTTGCTACTGTCTTGGTCTTTACATTCTAGAACCAATATCCTAGAGCTTAAGAACTCTGCCCTTTAGAGTATCTTCATTCACAGTTTGCATGTAGCTTACTAGGTAGATTGAAATGAAAATATAAAATCCTTTATTTTTGCATACTAGATATTGTGTGGACCACTCACATCCATACTCAAAATAGAGTTACTATGGTGTATTTCTGTAAAGAATAGAAACTACAAAAATACTAGAATTAGCTAGAGAGCCTATATGTTGAAGTAGTTGAACCCTGGGTGAGACCTAGGCCTCATGGCAACAAAGGCAAGACACACACACAAAAAAACACAAACCCAGTTGGTAAATTTATGCAACGAAACCTCTTTCACAAAACTCACAAAATGCACAGAACTGCCCACTCATTTGTACATCAAGCAGACAATATTTGAGTAATATTGACATCCCAGGCACATGTGATCAGTGCTTTTAATTTACTCATCCCATTTACCCTTAGAATAACTCTCTGAGATAGGTATTATTTTCTCCATTTTTAAAACTGAGAGACTGAAACTCAGAGAGTTTAGGTGGCTTGACTAGTTTGTTAATGATAGAGCAACCATTTGAATCAAGTTCCTGACCTGAGTTTTTTCCAAGATATCTGCTTTCTTTTGGAGGCTGGGGAGAGGAAAGGGATGGAGAGGAGGTATTTCTTAAATGATAATCTTACTTCATTTCCTAAGCAAACTATAGGAAATACACTGTTGAAAGGAACACTGTCTCCATGACTGAATGTAGTAGTACTATTAGAATAGAAGCTTTCATCTTCTCCAAGCAGCACATGTGGACAATAAGATGCCCATTAAAGTTCTAGTCCCTTTTTCGTTTTATTTGGTTCATTCCATTGCATAGTTAATGTAATAATTTGGAAAGAGTTTATTTGAATTTTCTTTTTTCCACAGCTAGGCCATGTCTGGTCCAACTGATGAGACTGCAGGAGACTTGCCTGTGAAAGATACAGGTCTAAACCTCTTTGGAATGGGAGGGTTACAAGGTATGGCCAGCTGTTATTTATTACAGTTATGAACTTTGATCACTGACTACTTTTAATTTAAAGTATTTCTTATACTCATACAAACCAAACCATTTAAGTAACTATATAGTCCTTGATTGGACTAAACAAAAAGATGGAGAGTTTAGAACACATATGGTATTTTACTACATGCATCAGTTATCAACAGCTCATAGAAAATGTACAGTCCCCCCTCTGTTCTGATAAAGAATTAACATAAATCATCTTTTTAAAATTCCTCACATCAGTAGAAACTACATAGAGAGTATCAAGCCTCCAAACTGAATTGCCTGGTTTAAATTACATTCAGTGTTAAAACATTTCTTTGTGTTTAAATTTTATATGGGAGGAAAGGCCGTATTTTAAGTGTTTTGCCTTTTAAGTGGAATATCTCACATGATAGTGACTTTTTTATCGAATTAATATGGATTAAAGGTTTTCTTTATCCTTTTATCACTTAGTAGTTGCTGTAGAGCTAAAAAGCACTTTCAAATTGAGAAAGAAAAGCACTACTTTAAAGAACAATTTAGAACAGAGAGCTGTGTTTATCTTTGTGTGTCCATTGTGTCAGCTATGCTGTCATGCATGTATCGATTATCAACAGCTCATAGAAAACGTAAAATCCCCCTCTAGCCTGAGAAGGCTAGGGATTTAAGATACATTCCATTTAGGAATCTACATACACTTTTCAATCAGAACAGTGTAAATGGCCACTGTGAAAACCAGAAAAGTGGTCAATGTATTGTTTATTGAAAAAGATAAAATTTGGCTACACAGAAATTTTTTTTTTTTTTTTTTTTTTTGAGACGAAGTCTCGCTCTGTCGCCCAGGCTGGAGTGCAGTGGCGCGACCTCCGCTCACTACAACCTCCGCCTCCCGGATTTAAGCGATTCTCCTGCCTCAGCCTGCCATGTAGCTGGGTTTACAGGTGTTCGCCGCCATGCCGGCTAATTTTTGGCTACACAGATTTTATTGTTAGAAGTAAAAAGTATGTGTAAGCTTTGCTCTGCAGATCTTTCAGGGAGTATCAAGTATTATACAAATAACTTGTAAGTGTGCAAAGTGATTTATTGGGTTTTGATACTCTATAAGTTCAATTCTTGTGCTCAGTAACCTATCACAGGACCTTAGTCTCTATCAGTTGTTCTTTGTTTCTATTGGAGAATTGTTGAAAATCGACCTTCTTCACAATGATATGGAAAATACCAATTTTTTTTTTTTTTTTTTTTTTTTTATTGATCATTCTTGGGTGTTTCTCACAGAGGGGGATTTGGCAGGGTCATAGGACAATAGTGGAGGGAAGGTCAGCAGATAAACAAGTGAACAAAGGTCTCTGGTTTTCCTAGGCAGAGGACCCTGAGGCCTTCCTCAGTGTTTGTGTCCCTGGGTACTTGAGATTAGGGAGTGGTGATGACTCTTAACGAGCATGCTGCCTTCAAGCATCTGTTTAACAAAGCACATCTTGCACTGCCCTTAATCCATTTAACCCTGAGTGGACACAGCACATGTTTCAGAGAGCACAGGGTTGCGGGGTAAGGTCACAGATCAACAGGATCCCAAGGCAGAAGAATTTTTCTTAGTACAGAACAAAATGAAAAGTCTCCCATGTCTACTTCTTTCCACACAGACACGGCAACCATCCGATTTCTCAATCTTTTCCCCACCTTTCCCCGCTTTCTATTCCACAAAACCACCATTGTCATCATGGCCCATTCTCAATGAGCTGTTGGGCACACCTCCCAGACGGGGTGGTGGCTGGGCAGAGGGGTCCTCACTTCCCAGTAGGGGCGGCCGGGCAGAGGCGCCCCTCACCTCCCGGACGAGGCGGCTGGCCGGGTGGGGGGCTGACCCCCCCACCTCCCTCCCAGACGGGGCGGCTGGCCGGGCGGGGTGCTGACCCCCCCACCTCCCTCCCGGGCGGTGCGGCTGGCCGGGCGGGGGGCTGACCCCCCCACCTCCCTCCCGACGGGGCGGCTGGCCGGGCAGAGGGGCTCCTCACTTCCCAGTAGGGGCGGCCGGGCAGAGGCGCCCCTCACCTCCTGGACGAGGCGGCTGGCCGGGCGGGGGGCTGACCCCTCCACCTCCCTCCCAGACGGGGCGGCTGGCCGGGCGGGAGGCTGACCCCCCAACCTCCCTCCTGGACGGGGCGGCTGGCCGGGCAGAGAGGCCCCTCACTTCCCAGTAGGAGTGGCCGGGCAGAGGCGCCCCTCATCTCCCAGACAGGACGGCTGGCCGGGCGGGGGGCTGACCCCCCACCTCCCTCCCGGACGGGGTGGCTGGCCGGGCGGGGGGCTGACCCCCCCACCTCCCTCCCGGACGGGGCGGCTGGCCTGGCGGGGGCTGACCCCCCACCTCCCTCCCGGACGGGTCGGCTGCCGGGCGGAGAGGCTCCTCACTTCCCAGACGGGGTGGCTGCCGGGCGGAGGGGCTCCTCACTTCTCAGACGGGGCGGCTGCCGGGCGGAGGGGCTCCTCACTTCTCAGACGGGGCGGTTGCCGGGCGGAGGGTCTCCTCCCTTCTCAGATGGGGTGGCTGGGCAGAGATGCTCCTCACCTCCCAGACAGGGTTGCGGCCGGGCAGAGGCACTCCTCACATCCCAGACGGGGCGGCAGGGCAAAGGCGCTCCCCACATCTCAGACGATGGGCGGCCGGGCAGAGACGCTCCTCACTTCCTAGATGGGATGGCGGCCGGGAAGAGGCGCTCCTCACTTCCTAGATGGGATGGCGGCCGGGCAGAGACGCTCCTCACTTTCCAGACTGGGCAGCCAGGCAGAGGGGCTCTTCACATCCCAGACGATGGGCGGCCAGGCAGAGACGCTCCTCACTTCCTAGACGGGGTGGCGGCCGGGCAGAGGCTGCACTCTGGGCACTTTGGGAGGCCAAGGCAGGCGGCTGGGAGGTGGAGGTTGTAGCGAGCCGAGATCACGCCACTGCACTCCAGCCTGGGCACCATTGAGCACTGAGTGAACCAGACACCGTCTGCAATCCCGGCACCTCCAGAGGCCGAGGCTGGTGGATCACTCGCGGTCAGGAGCTGGAGACCAGCCCGGCCAACACAGCGAAACCCCGTCTCCACCAAAAAAATACGAAAACCAGCCAGGCGTGGCGGCGTGCGCCTGCAATCGCAGGCACTCGGCAGGCTGAGGCAGGAGAATCAGGCAGGGAGGTTGCAGTGAGCCGAGATGGCAGCAGCACAGTCCAGCTTCGGCTTGGCATCAGAGGGAGACCGTGGAAAGAGAGGGAGAGGGAGAGGGAGACCGTGGGGAGAGGGAGACCGTGGGGAGAGGGAGAGGGAGAGGGAGAGGGAGATTGATAAACTTTTCATATGTTTAATGATCATATGAATTTTCTGTCAGTGATGTTCCTGTTCAAGCAGCTTGCTCATTTTTTATTGAGTCATCTTTTTTCTTTCTTTTCTTTCTTTTTTTTTTTTGAGACAGAGTCTCGCTCTCTCACCCAGGCTGGAGTGCAGTGGCACAATCTCAGCTCACTGCAACCTCCGCCTCCTGGGCGATTGTCCAGACTTAGCCTCCTGAGTAGCTGGGACTACAGGTGTCCGCCACCATGCCCAGCTAAGTTTCGTATTTTTAGTAGAGACGGGGTTTCACCATGTTGGCCAGGCTGGTCTTGAACTCCCGACCTCAGGTGATCCACCCGCCCCAGCCCCCCAAAGTGCTGAGATTACAGGCGTGAGCCACCAAGCCTGGCTCGGAAAATACCAAATTTAAGCGTCTGTAAAAAGAAATCATAAACACATGCTAAAGAGTATAAACGTTCTTAAAATTTATATAAGGTAGTGTAAAGAGAAATTATTTGTGAAGCTTTTAAATGAAAATTTTTAAATTTAGGGGTTTTTTGATTTGGTCTTACAACTTTTATAGTTTGTTTTCTAAGACACTCATAGCACAGAAAAATATCTTAGTTATATTATGTTTACCAAATTACTCTTACTCTTGCCTTTGTAAAAAAATAAGCTTCGGATACTCTTTTAGTTGTCACAACATTCAGCAGGTAAATTCAAAAGTCTTTATTGAATCAGAATTCCATCTTATATTCTTAAAGAACGGCACTTGAATACATTTTTGAATGGATACTATTGTTATTCAAATTCCTAAAACTGTATATAAAGTATTAATAGCAAAGATTTTTATTCTCACCTTAAATAATTGATGTAAACAATGGTACAACATTTTCTAAAGCAATCTTAACTGTAGGTCACAAAGGAAAAAATCTCAGATGAGTGCATCAGAGATTATATTAATATCAAGAGTTTCTAGAGACTATTTTAAGTAACCTCACAATTAATTATCTTGGCATTTTTGCAGAAACTTCAACAACACGGACAATGAAGTCTCGCCAGGCAGTGTCACGTGTCAGTCGTGAGGAACTGGAAGACAGATTTTTGCGTTTGCATGATGAGAACATTTTACTTAAACAGCATGCCCGCAAGCAGGAGGATAAAATTAAAAGGTTATGATAAAAAGCTTTTAGCTTTTTTTCTTGACTCAGTAAAATTTGGAGGGTATGGTATTTTATAAACTTAATTGAATACCCCACCTTGAATCTTGTTTGGAACAAGGCAGGATGTAAATAAGTACAATTTTTAAAAATGGAAAATCTTGCAAACTAGAATAATAAACCAAAAAGATTATGAGTGTTTATTATGTCTGAATTTGCTATTTAAATGAAAAAAGCTAATAGAGTGCCGTTAGTATATCATACCTATAAATAACTTTTGGTTTAATATTTATAGTTTAATAAGCAAATGGCCAAAGCATCTGTTTTTTAAATGTCTTGATTTTAAAATGAAAGTTTTAAAAAGTAACTAACTATTCTAACTTGTTAGAATGCACATTCCCTTAAGATTTGGGGTTTACTAATGAAAACATCACTTCAGTCTCTGGAACATATTTAACTTTGCTTGGGTTATACTAGATTCTATATTGATTTCAAAGAGTCTCTACTGTTTCTGAAGAAACAGTATTGTCACTTTTGATTTATGTGCAAAAAATCTTGGCAAAAATGATTTCTTAAGAGTAGATACTCTTTCATTCTTTTTTATTCAGAAATGCTGTGCCTATTTTCTGAGGGGAAGGCATTAAAAACAAAGTGTGTTCAGATGTGTAATCATGAGCAGGTCTGTATTCATATTTATGTTCTAGGTTCAAAGAAAAGGTGAGACAACCATTGAAGAATGAAAATAGGGTTTTTCTGCTTAGAATCCATCCTAAGGAGGTGGTTCCAGTTCAGTTTCTACTCTGTGGACTTCAACAACCCACTGGCATGCTATGTGCAGGCCTTTTACTTTGAGTTGGGTTTTAGTCATGATGATGGCTGTTTTCAAGATTTGTGACTCACTTGCCTGATTCCTTTTCTGACCATTATCCCACACACATCAGCCAGTCAGAATGAGGCATGTAGTCTGCTATGACCACCTAACAATTTTTTTCTTTGTAAGCCTAATTGGTCAGTAAAAGAATCGAATTCACATCCTTGACCTCATTAGTAATTTGTCATAGCCAGAAAATAAAAAACAACTGAATAATGAGCCATGTAGTTTAATGGGAAAAGGACTGAGCTAGGAATCAAGTTGTATGTATGCATTCTGTTATCTCTCTGCCACTAGCCTGTGGTATGTATGTTCAAGCCATTTAACCTCCTGAAAGTTCGTTTTACTTTAGCTACGAGAATAATGATCCAATGAACACTATGACCCAAAAGCTCTAAATGCCTCTCGATCTCACACCACTGACTGTGACCTAGATACATGGGTAGAACTGTCTTTAAATTTATCTTTTAGAAGTAAATAGGCCAGGCACAGTGGCTCACGCCTGTAATCCCAGCACTTTGGGAGGCTGAGGCGGGCGGATCACTTGAGGTCAGGAGTTCAAGACCAGCCTGGCTAACATGATGAAACCCCATTTCTACTAAAAATACAAAAAATTAGCTGGGCATGGTGGCACAAGCCTGTAATCCTAGCTACTCGGAGGTTGAGGCAGGAAAATTGCTTGAACCCGGGAGGCAGAGGTTGCAGAGCCAAGATCGCGCCATTGGACTGAGCTTGGGCAATAAGAGCGAAACTCTGTCTAAAAAACAAAACAAAACAAAAAAGTAAATAGTTTATTTTCTATAAATGTAGATTTTATAAACTACCTTTTTATTTTTTAATTTTTTTTTTTTTTTTTTTTGAGAGGAAGTCTTTGTTGCCCAGGCTGGAGTGCAGTGGTAAGATCTCGGCTCACTGCAACCTTCGCCTCCCGGGTTCAAGTGATTCTCCTGCCTCAGCCTCCCGAGTAGCTGGGATCACAGGCGCCTGCCACCATACCTGGCTAATTTTTATGTTTTAGTAGAGACGGGGTTTCACCATGTTGGCCAGGCTGGTCTCAAATGAACTCCAGACCTCAGGTGATCCGTCTGCCTTGGCCTCCCAAAGTGTTGGGATTACAGCCATGAGCCACCTCGTCTAGCCAAAACTACCTTTTTAAATAAGCACTCAGACTTTGCCAGATCACGTATGATTCATTAATATGATAAAATAATCAAATCCAGCAAATGGAATGTATGGCTATTACGAGACAAACAGATGCAATCATGTTTCTTGACAAAGTTTATTTGAATATCATTTGAAGAATTTAAAGATACCCTGCCTTAAAAATTAGGGTCATTTATTTTTACCTGGGTGTTAACTGCCTTTTTATATTAAATCTGTGTCTTTCTTTTGAATGTAATCTACATCTCTGTGTGAAAGTCTCTCTGTAACAGAAAATTCAGATATTTAGGTTGACGTCTCATTCATATGACAACCTTACTTTTGTGCACAGGCCATTGGGTGGGGCTTAGGACCCTAAACTCATTAAAGGGCCAGGTAGAGTGTGTGGCCCTCTTGGACTGTGATACCTGGCCAAATTTCCCAGTGATATATCATTCTCGGAATTAGGTGGAAAAGGAACTAATCCATTGATTATTTTACTAGAGTGTTTGTGGTACTCTTGGATCTTGGTTTTTATTATCCTGTATCCTTTATAAAGCATGCTTAATGGATGTGCCTCAAGGGAAAGAGAAAACAATCTTAACTGATTATGTTATGCATAGCTCTCCCTGATGCCACATGCTGTAGGCCGAGTAGCCAGAGTGTGGATAGACATGTATTACTACCGCATTTACAGCGGACTCTGCTTAGGGCAGAAAAAAGGTTGTTCTATGACATCCCAAAGCTATTAAAGGTTTTTTTATTTCACTTTTGTTCCCTTAAGTAAAAGCTTCTGTCCATAACCACGCTAAAATAAAGCAAAACCCATTTAAAGAAAAATGAAGTGTGTTTTTATTTTCAATCTCCTGTCTGGGTCTTTATAAAAATAGATTCACTATAAACTAGAATCAGCTATTGAAGATGTGCGACCAATTTTGTAAAGTCTTGAACTTGTGTCTCTCATCAAAGCCACCTTTTCTTTCTTGTCCTGCCAAGATTTTTCCATTCACTGTCAGGCATGTTTTCCGTACGTGTATATTACATCACCCCCATGTGCCCTTTCTGTCTTTTGTTCTTTCTAACCAGTTTTTATCAAAACTTAAAAGAATCAAAGGTATAAACTCCTGAGATGTCAAAAGCACAATTTATGTCCAAATTTAAAGATAGCATTAAAATGATACTTTTGCATCTAATTATTTTTTACCATTAAACACAAGTGTTTCTTGAGCACTAAGCAACATTTATTGGTGCATTTTGGTTTCTTTTGAATTTTTCATTGGGCTTTATATGTGTGCATTTATGCATTCTAACATTTTTATATTTATAGTGTGTCTTAATCCTGGAGAAACTGAAAACAATATATTACCTAAATGCTGCACAGTCTTAACACACTTTTCAAAAGTTTTAACTTACTGTGGATTGCAGATATAACCCACCACATCCACAATCTGTAACTACACTTAAGTGCGTACAGCATTCCTATATAAGGTCATGCGTTAAAAATTGCGTTTCAGGAACATATGGAGTAAATATGTGTCCTCTCTTTACTAACCTTAAATGATAAGCCTTAGGAAACTGTTATTTGTCAGTGCTATAAAGCAGATTGTTGCCCAGTGGTTTCAATTATCATCAAAGGATTCTTCACAGGCAGTAATAGTTACATCAAAACCTGAAATTTATTATTCAGGTTCTGCACTGAAGTCTTCACAGTGATTATGTTCCTTTCAACAGAATGGATTTTATGCTGACTTCTCACATTCCTTTTCATCTTTTTATTATTTCCCCAGAATGGCCACCAAGTTAATACGGCTAGTTAATGACAAGAAAAGATATGAGCGGGTTGGTGGCGGCCCCAAGCGGCTGGGACGAGATGTGGAAATGGAAGAAATGATTGAGCAGCTGCAAGAGAAAGTTCATGAGCTTGAAAAACAAAATGAAACCCTCAAAAACAGACTGATTTCAGCCAAACAGCAACTTCAAACCCAGGGTTACAGGCAAACTCCATACAATAATGTACAATCTCGTATTAACACTGGGCGTAGAAAAGCAAATGAAAATGCTGGTTTACAGGAATGCCCCAGGAAAGGTAAAACAAAGCTTACGTTAAATCTAAACTGAAGTCTTATTAGATTGTTTAACACAAAAAAAACACAAAGTTTTACTTCTGTATTACGCATGCTTTTAAGTGTCTTTAGGAAGAGAAAAATAATTTTTTACTTTGATAAAATAATATTGTCAGTGAAGATTATTTAAGAATCACTAGATCAGTCTCAAATTTGTTTAGTAAAAACATTCCACATAACCTTAATGTAAGAGATGTGTGAAACTAAGTAAAATGAGTTGAATTGCGTTTGGGTTGGTTAAACCCACTGTACTCAGGCAGGTGGGGAAACTAGCTAGTTTGCTTACATATGACCACATTTACTGTAATGAATGATCACATTTAAGTTCTTCATCCAAAGACCTTTTCGAAATTTGCAAAAGTGTTGAAATCTTTCTCATTGGATGGCGGTAGCATGACATGGCATGTGCATGTAACCAGGGGTTTAAAAAGTTGGGTCCTTATTTCTACACTTACTGGCTGGTGACCTTAGACAAGTCTCCTAATCAATCTGACCCTGAGTTTTCTTTACATGTAAAGTAAAAGGATTGAAACAAGTAAGGATAAAGGTCTCTTCCATCTCTAAAAATGATCATAGGCCAATCACTTTGTTCACTTTAAAAATTAATAACCTAAAATGTACCCAAGTTGCAAAGTAATTAAATTGTGTAGACAAGACTCAATATAGAACATAAATATTTCTAATAAAAATTTTCAATTCTCTTCACCCACAGAGAAACTTTATTATAATGGAACCACAATTCAATAAATATCTTAAGTAACGTTTTTAAAATTTCAACTAGTAGGAAAGGAAATTAGGTTTTAGCTCTAATTGGTTTTTGTTTAGACTATACTTTACATAAAGACCAAACATTTTTAGGGATGTAAAGTAGCATGTAAAACTTTAGTTTCAATTCTTTGAGGAATTAAAAAAAAAAAAACGAAAAACCACTATGAACAGAAAGGGAGAAAAATTTGTTGTAGTTCGCTCTTGAAGCCAAAATGTTAGCACTATCTTTTCCCTAGATAGAGTTCCTTTGAAGTCAATAAGGCCTCCACACAGGCAGGAGGCAGCTGCAGGATGAAAGGGCTTGGCTACTCCTAGCTATGTGAGATTGGCAGTAGACTCTGAATACAACTAAAGTAAGCATAATGAATTATAAATTAGAAAGTACATTCTGCCACTGAGTAACTGTTTTACATGGAAGATAATACTGACCTCAGCCTCATTTTCCCCATCTATAAAATGGAGTGGTAATAATCCAGCTTAGATAAGAGATCAGGAGATGGTGGCTCCCACAATAATATATTTTACCTTTAAAGTGACCTATCCTCTCTGAACCTTAGTTTTGCCATCTGGAACTGGAACTGGGCAAGATGATCTCTAAAGTCTGCAAGATCTTTTATACTAAATAAAAATAATGTTCAAGCTAGGCACAATGGTGTACACCTAAAGTCCTCGAGAAGCTGAGGTGGGAAGATTACTTGAGCCCAGGAGTTTGAGTCTAGCCTGGGCGACGTAGTGAGACACAGTCTCTAAAAATAAGTGAGTCTAGGCTGGGCGCAGTGACTCACGCCTATAATCCCAGCACTTTGGGAGGTCAAGGCAGGTGGATCACAAGGTCAGGAGATGGAGACCATCCTGGCCAACACGGTGAAACCCCATCTCTACTAAAAATACAAAAAATTAGCTGGGCTTGGTGGCACGCACCTGTAATCCCAGCTACTTGGGAAGCCGAGGCAGGAGAATCACTTGAACCCAGGAGGCGGAGTTTGCAGTGAGCCAAGATTGCACCATTGCACTCCAACCTGGGCGACAGAGGAGACTAAGTCTCAAAAATAAATAAATAAGTCTATAATGCCCAGATTTTACATTAAATCTAAACTGAAGTCTAATTAGATCATTTAACACAAAAAAAGTTTTGTTTCTGTATTATTCATGCTTTTAAGTGTCTTTAGGAAGAGAAAAATAAGTTTTGACTTTCTCTTTGATAAAATCATAATATTGTCAATGTTAATTAAAATGGCAAGCTAATCTAGTGCTATAAATTGCTGTTCAGACAGGAGAGTTTGCTGGAAGTTTCTCCCTATAGCGAAATTAAGAGCCACAGATCAGCAGACTCTTAAAAACATGACTACATACTTTAATTTCTCCTTACATTTGTACTCTCTTGGTGATTCAGACCTTTCTCACTGTTCAGGATAGAGTTCAGGACATGGAAGTGACACAAAGCATTAAGTAGTGATGAATACTTTCTTAATCCGTCTTTATGAGTAAACCTGAAGCATCATTACCAAAACTGACACTTTAACAGGCTCTCCAGGACTACCTTTGAGGCTGAGACAGGCGAGACTTGTCAGGAAAATATCTCAGCCTGGGATGGCTGGCTAAGAACCCTAAAACCCCTCTCTGGCCACAAGCAACCTTTACCATCAAGGTGCTATACAAATACTACTGTTTTCTGTTTGTGCCTTGTCAGGATAAAGGATGGAAAGCACTGGCTAAATGTGTGATCAATGTAATATAGAAACAATACTTATTATGAGGAAACAACGGAACAAAGATTTTTGTAAAGCAAAGGTTTTGAAATGTAACCATTGGTAGAGAGTAGAATGATAGTTACTAGAGGCTGGGAAGAGTATGGGGCGCTGGGGAGGATGAAAGGAGGTTGGTTAATGGGCACATAGATACAGTTAGATAGAAAAAATAAGAAAAAGTTCTAGTGTTTTATAGCACAGTAGACTGTATAGGCAACAACAGCATACTGAATATTTAAAAATATCCAGAAGAGATTTGAAATATTCCCAACACAAATGATAAATGGTCAAGGTGATGGATATCCTAAATACCCTGATTGGATCATTACACATTGTATGCATGCATCAAAATACCACATGTACCCCAGTGATATGTACAAATATTATGTATCAATCTTTAAAAGGTTTTATATATATATATAACATATATATAACATATATATATATATAGCCATTGGCAAATCACCATGAGACTGTAAGTTTTAAGATATGTTTTGATTATTTTTTATTTCCACTAGTAATGTTGAATTTTTTCATGGTATATGTAGGAAAAGCGTAAGAATTAGCATTACTGCCAAAATAATACAATTGGCAAATTCTAACACAGTAAACTATTTTAATGTTTTAGGCAGAGCCTTTTCTATTCTTCTGGATTACAGCAATAGATATTGACTACTTTGGAAAGAGCGAGTAATAGTTCCATTGTTCTAGTTAAAATTCTCTTTTTTCTTTATTTAAATTTTCTCTTTACTGAGAATATGCAGAGCAATGAAATCTCACGTTTAAAAAGTTAACTTTTCTAAAGGAATAAATTTGTTGTTTTGTTCTCCATTTAAAAACCTTAATCATCTGTGATGCTTTATCTACCTTAAACTCTAATATTTAGTTATTCTATAAATGTAAAATAACTCACATAATTAAGAATATGCCTTATTTTAAACAATGGGACTGTCTTTGTAAAATTCTACAGATTTCTATAAGAAAAATTATATTTTAAGTGCAGCAGGGAAATGTTTTATTTAAAGGAATTCTTGCGATGATCCATTCTCAAAGTACCTTTTCATAAATAGGGATTTTGTTATTGGGGTGGAATAAATCAAAATACAGAAAACATTTTTACTTAAACATTTAAGGGCAAGGAATATGAATAATTTAAAAATTTAAAAAACCCTTATCACAAACACTGGGGAAAAAATCAGGTTTTTATAACCTATTTACATTGTTAAAACTTGAATAGAAGACTGATTTATTTCAGAAATTACTGCAGGAGTCTAAATCTTAAGTTGAATAAAATTATTTCTAGGTAATTTGATTTCTACAGTAGATTTGTAAAATGAGCAATACTTGCTGCTGTGTTTTATTTAATGCCTACTGGTGGCTGAGATCACATATTCCCTTTGGCAGTGTATTTATAATTCTGTGTACTATAAAACACATACCTCTTAATACTTAAGAGATTTTATTATAAATATCCTTATTATAGCAAATCAAAGATCCTTCTTTTCTAACTTCAATTCTGTAATCATATTTTATTACTTTGTTTTTAGGTATAAAATTCCAAGATGCAGATGTAGCAGAAACTCCACATCCCATGTTTACAAAATATGGCAACAGTTTACTTGAAGAAGCCAGAGGAGAAATAAGAAATTTGTATGTGTTCTTTTTTGTGGTAATTTGAGAACTTTGGTTATTGATAATGTCTTTTTTTTTTATCCTTCCCTTTCCTTTATTTATATGTAAACAGTTTGCTCCACTGAAATACAGCTATGTTCTGTAGGGTAACAACAGATGTTATATAACATGTTCTCAGAAAAAGGAAAATGAAGAACTTATCCAGCTGCCTCAATGGAAGGATTTATGTAATAGTCTTCTTTATTATAATTTGACCCTCAGAGGAATGGCATAAAGTCCAGTCAGTTAGAATAGTGTAAGATTTAGAGGCAACATTTTTATTCCCAGAAAATCACAGGTAATTTTTTTAGATCCTGAATCAATTAGCCCTTTTCTTGGTTAAAAAAAATAAATAAAGAATTGGGGAGTGGCATAAAAGTTTGGAGTTATCAGATACATATGGATTTCAGATTTTGTTTTCGTATGATTCTATGGCACTGCATTCTTCATCATATGGTTTCAAAAAAGTTACTTCTGCCACATTTAGCTTACTTTTCTAGTTAATCCAAGCCTCATGGTTTCAGTGTCTGTGAGTTACACAAATGAAGGTAAGGTTCCACTTTAAGCCTTCACCTGGATCATCAAAAAGTAACAATACTTCATGAGAAAAGAAAACATGGCGCACAGTATCATACTTAAGATAGTTGCTTAAGAATAATATGGTCTTCAAATGTTTCCTTTTGAATATTTTAAATAGCAGCTACAGTAATGATTAGCCTGCAGGAAAATAAAAGACTAGACATAACCTTGTTACCTGATGATCACCTGAAAAGCCAACGTTTATACCGGTTCCTGAGACTCATTACAGTGTGATGCTGCCAGACATGATAGAGATAAATGCATGCCAGAGACCACTAAGTTATATTTGGCAAATTTCCTGCCCTCTCTCTCTGAAGTGTTAATTTGGGTGTTATAAGCAGATGTGCATATATGAAAGAACAAAGACATATAAATATTCTGAAGACCAGATTGTGGCATACATAGTAGGTGTACTCCACAATAAATACTTACTCAATTGAATCAAACCAAAGTCCAATCCATTGCCTAGGACATTATCTTATAAAAAGCAGTATCTTGCATTGTTCCGTATGTATTTCCAAGTCATCACATTTAATCTGCTACTATTTCACTGTGTGCAGAGGCACTTAAGCTAAATTTTTTAACTTCTGCTTGCTCTTTTTCATGAAGAACTTTCTTTGCACTGATCTTAACTATTGAAAAATTTTCCTCAAACTACAAGTTCTTACAGAGGCTCTTTATTTCAGAGAAAACGTTATTCAGTCACAAAGAGGCCAGATAGAGGAGTTAGAGCACTTGGCTGAGATCCTGAAAACTCAGTTGAGGAGAAAAGAAAATGAAATTGAGTTATCTCTTCTTCAGCTTCGAGAACAGCAAGCTACAGATCAAAGGTATGTTAAAACAGAAATATCACTTTGATAAGGTCAAAATTAGTTTAAAATACTTTATCATGTGCCATAAAAGGATAAGTTTATCTAGTCTATTTAAAAATCATGTTTTTACTTAACATTCTTCATATAAGCCTATGCTCGACCTACTAACTGCTGTCAAGAACTCTAGTCTAAAGACAGTTTTCCCTAACCTGCTGTGCTTTTAAGCAGCTTCTGATGCGTGGAAATCACCCTCATCTTGTTTTCTATGTTCATTTACCCCATTTGCCAAGATTGCAGGAAGTTCTGATACCATTTGATTATAACTACTGAGAGAAATATGGGTGACAAGAACTCAACTGTTGGCATATCTTGTACATAAGTCCAGCATTACTTTTTTCAACCTTAAAAGATAGTAAATTCCATAATATGGTACCAGTTTGTAATCCCAAAAAGATCCCTAATATTCCAAGTTTGGATTGCAATCTGTTGGCTGTGATAAGATTACAGTTGGTCCTGTAGATAGTCTCCTTGCTGCCTTTTCATCTATGACATTAAAAAACTTTTTTTGTTATAATTTCCAACTTTTAAGTTCAGGGGTACATGTACAGGATGTGTAGGTTTGTTACATAGATAAATGTGTACCATGGTGGTTTGCTGCACAGATAATCCCGTCACCCAGATATTAAACCCAGCGTCCACTAGCTGTTCTTCCTGATGCTTTCCCTCCTCCCACCCCTCACCCTCCGACAGGCCCCAGTGTGTGTTGTTCCCCCCACCCTATGTGTCCATGTGTTCTTATCATTTAGCTCTCACTTAAAGTGAGAACACGCAGTGTTTGGTTTTCTGTTTCTGCATTAGTTTGTGAAGGATAGTGGCCTCTGGCTCCATCCATGTCCCTGCAAAGGTCATGATCTCATTCCTTTTTATGGCTGCATAGTATTCCATGGTATGTATGTACCACATTATCTTTATCTAGCCTATCATTGATGGGCATTTAGGTCAATTTCATGTCTTTGCTATTGTGACTGGTACTCAATGAACATACGTGTGCATGTGTCTTTATAATAGAATGATTTATATTCCTTTAGGTATATACCCAGTAATGGGATTTCCTTGTCGAATGGTATTTCTGCCTGTAGGTCTTTGCGGAATCACCACACAGTCTTACACAATGGTTGAACCAAATTACACTCCCACCAACAGTGTAAAAGTGTTCCTTTTTCTCCATAACCTTACCAACATCTGTTGTTTTTTGACTCGCCAGTCTCACTGGTGTGAGATGGTATCTCATTGTGGTTTTGGCTTGCATTTCTCTAATGATCAGTGATGTTGAGCTTTTTTTTTATGTTTTTTTGGCCACATGATGTCTTCTTTTGAGAAGTGTCTGTTCATGTCCTTTGCCCACTTTGTAATGGGGTTGTTTGGCTTTTTTTTCTTGTAAATTTGTTTAAGTTCCTTATAGATGCTGGATATTATACCTTTGTCAGATGGATAGATTGCAGAAATTTTCTCCCATTCTATAGGTTGTCTGTTTACTCTGTTCATAGTTTCTTTTGCTGTGCAGAAACTCTTTAGTTTAATTAGATCCCATTTGTCAATTTTGCTTTTGCTGCAATTGCTTTTGGCATCTTCGTTGTGAAAACTTTGCCCATGCCTATATGCTGAATGATATCACCTAGGTTTTCTTTTTTTTTTTTAATTTTATTATTATTATACTTTAAGTTTTAGGGTACATGTGCACAACGTGCAGGTTTGTTACATTGTATACATGTGCGATGTTGGTGTGCTGCACCCATTAACTCGTCATTTAGCATTAGGTATATCTCCTAATGTTATCCCTCCCCCCAACCCCCACCCATAACAGTCCCTGGTGTGTCATGTTCCCCTTCCTGTGTCCATGTGTTCTCATTGTTCAATTCCCACCTATGAGTGAGAACATGCGGTGTTTGGTTTTTTGTCCTTGCGATAGTTTGCTGAGAATGATGGTTTCCAACTTCATCCATGTCCCTACAAAGGACATGAACTCATCATTTTTTAAGGCTGCATAGTATTCCATGGTGTATATGTGCCACATTTTCTTAATCCAGTCTATCATTGTTGGACATTTGGGTTGATTCCAAGTCTTTGCTATTGTGAATAGTGCCACAATAAACATACGTGTGCATGTGTCTTTATAGCAGCATGATTTATAATCCTTTGGGTATATACCCAGTAATGGGATGGCTGGGTCAAATGGTATTTCTAGTTCTAGATCCCTGAGGAATTGCCACACTGACTTCCACAATGGTTGAACTAGTTTCCAGTCCCACCAACAGTGTAAAAGTGTTCCTATTTCTCCACATCCTCTCCAGCATCTGTTGTTTCCTGAATTTTTAGTGATCACCATTCTAACTGGATATCACCTAGGTTTTCTTCTAGAGTTTTTGTAGTTTCGGGTTTTACATTTAAATCCTTAAATCCATCTTGAGTTGATTTTTGTATAAGTTGTAAGAAAGGGGCCCGTTTTCAATTTTCTGCATATGGCTAGCCAGTTCTTCCAGCACCACTTATTAAATAGGGATTGCTTGTTTTTGTCATCTCTGACATTTTATAATGTACGATATTTTATTTCCCATTCTTCTTTGCCATTTTTTGGTTCCTAGTACCTGTTCATTCATTTTCTGCTTTGACATTGTGCTTTCAACAATACTTTATCTTTTTAAATATTCTTTCTTGAATTATTTTTTCCCTTTCTGGATTTTTTTCTTTTTTTTTTTTTTGAACTAAGTGTACTCAAAAGTAGAGAATAGTATATTGAACCCCCACATACACATCACTCAGCTTTAACAACTATTAACATCTTACCAATCTTGTTTCATCTATCCCCTCACATTTATTTTTCGAATTATCCCCAGCCAGATATCATGTCACCTCACTGATAAATACTTCAACCTCTATTTCTGTCTGAAAAGGAATTTTTAAAAACATACCTACCATGCCATTATCACACCTAACAAAAATCACAGTAGTTCTTTGATATCGTCTAATAACTGGTTTATATTCAAACTTCTGTGAAGATGTCCTTCTACTGTTCATTTGAATTGGAATCCAAATAAGTTCTACACATAGCATTTGGTTATTATGTCTCTTTTATTTCCCTGGATTTTTTTTTTAAACCAGACCTAGTTGCTGTACTTACTTTTCTCCTTTCCAACAAGTTTGATATCATACTTGTATGCCTAGGTTCTTATTAGAAAAACCAAGTAAGATTTTCTGGCTTTTCATTTCAGATTCAGAGTTTATTCATCTTTTAACAAACTAAACTTATGTGGTAATGTATGAAGAAGCTAAGAAAGGATGCTTAATATCAGACTTGTTAAAAAAAAAGTGGGCTAAAAATATATAAGAAGCTTTATATTTCATAGATTTATCAGATTAGTGTTATCTCTAAAAATTCTATTCCTAAAAAACTATGTGTAAAATTAAATTATATGAGAAATCCTATATGTCTAGTGACATTATATACCCTTCTAAGTGCAAGACAAAAGAAACATGAATATTTTTGAGAATCATATTTAAATTAGGGGATATAATTTGAACTCTGGCTAAAGCATAAGCTTGAATACCTATGAGTTATTCATATTTCTGTAGGAAGAAGATTTAGATTTGGCCTACTTTAAAAACCAAGAATGGTTCCTTGTGAGAAACAGTGCTAAAGGACCAGACCTCTCAACACTGAATATGGTGATCTTAGTAAATGCCAACAGCCATGTTTAAGACATTGTCTGAATATAAAAATTCATATAGGGGCCAAGCTCAAGCTTGGGGCAGTCCCCATCTTTACTGAACCACTGAGTACAAGGTTATCAAGGATTGCTTTCCCTGTTACATTTCTCAAGTTTAGTGTAAGGTGGACACTGTATTGGCCATTCCCTTTTCCAAAGGGATGTAATCATTTAGGAGCTAGTGTTAACTGAAAGGGAAACCCAAAAGTCCTTCAATCCTGAAACTAGAGCAACAGAAGAAATAGAGTGATAGACAAGGGTACATACTTTCCTACTATAAATATTACCAACAAGAGACACCAACATGTATACATAGAAGAGGTAAGTCCCTCCTTAGGGGGCTATATTATTTACTCTGTAGCAGTCTATTTTTGTCACATCAAGAATTAAAGCAGAGACAAAATGGCTATTACAGGCAAAGGAACTTTTATTGCAGAGACCAGAGAAATAAATCAGTGTGTACCCTACCTCACTTGATCTTATAAAATTGAAAATTTACATGTTATTTGCTTAGAAGGAAAGATACCTATAGTGAATAGCATATTGTTGCTTGAAATACAGTTGTTGAAATTGAGGAAATAGCTTAAAATAAGGATGTTCAATGCCTTTTTTAAATGTTTACACATAGCTTATAATTTTATATGTAACAGCAATTTTTTTGAGACTAATGGAAAACTATTGAAAAAAATGTTAGGGAGAATATAAAACTTGGTATAATTTACTGTAGAGAAAAATCACAAAATGGGAAACATATTTAAACTTTTCTTTCACGGATACATTATTTCAGATTTGAAATTCTAGAAGTCTGATCTGGATGTTGGACTCCTTGTTCTCAAACATGAACCTAACGTAGTTGTAATCTTCAGAGTGGCAGTGCTTGATATTTATGGCAAAGAGCCTTTTCATAGAATATTACAGAAACTCTTCATAGTATGTGTTTAATAGACCAGTTTGGTTTGGCATCAGCTTGACATAAACTTTTGGTTATCCAAAGCCCTTAATTGCTTTGAAGTCAAAGCCCAGTGCTGCTCTTTTTTATTAAAATCATGTTTTTTCCTGTTGTTGTGGTCTATTTTGGGAGAGTGAGTTGTGATTTTTGCATATGTTCTACATAATGCCTCATTAGCAAAAAATCTTATATCATTTACAAGTAGCCTGAATGTCTGTGTTGTTTTGAAGAAAAATCCATATTAAATTTAAACAATATAAAAATGCACATTTTCTGCTTATTAAAAAGGCCGTCTTAAATTAAATTCAAAGCAGTAACCAGTGAACACATGTACATGAACGTTAAAATCAGAATGATTTTACCATTTACTGACCTTTTTCAACTCCAAAAATATTTATACTCTTACAAATGTGTAACTAGTTTGTACTAAGTGTTTTTTTAAAATAAATGTTAGGGTGTTTACCTTCTTAATTAGAAATCATGTAACTGCCATAATGTCCCAGTGGAGGAAATTTAACCCATAAGTATCTCAGACACTCTGACTTGCCTTCCCTTTGGCGGACAGCCGACTGTCAAATCTCGCAACAGAGAGGCCTTTTGCGCCATGCCTTGGCTTTCAGGGCTCACTCTTTCCCCTCTGCACAGATACAAGATTACTTTCTAGCACTCTAGGTTATGCCCAACTTTTCATTTTGAGAAATTGCAAACCTTCAGAAAAATGGAAAGAATAGTTGAGTGAGCACTCACATAACCTTTCACCCCTTAGCATATTTTTTGAATGGTACAACAAGCCTGTTTTTGCACTCGGCCTGCTCTTGCTTAAGCCTTCTTTCACTCAGCCTGTTTTCTTCTCTCAACATCTCTCATCTCCTCTTCCCTCCTATTTCTCCTTCTCCCTCCCTCTCTCTCTTCTCTTCACTCATTCCTCACTTCCCTTCTCTTCACCTCTCTCCCTTCCTTACTCCCATTAGGTGCATACATCACTTCACCCTCTGTACAGTTACGGGTAAGTATCTTCTAGGAACAAGGACATCCTCCTACATAACCACAATACAGCTATCACATTCAGAACACTTAACAATGAATGATACAGCCACAGCATCTAATACACAGTCCATATCCAAATTTCCCCAATTGTCCCAATAATGTCTTTTGCAGCTTGGTCTTTTTGTAATAGCTGTTGTTGTTTTATTTTCTTTTGATCTAGGATCCAGTCGAGGGTCACGTGTTGTTGCATTTAGTTATCATGTCTTCTAAATATCCTTTGTTCTCAAATGGTCCCCCACTCTTTTATAGCCCATTGACAGTTGTATGCAGAATGTCCCTCAGTTTGGATTTGCCTGATTGCCCAACCCCCTAATTTAAAGGGCACATCTGGTTCTCTGATGGAGGGGTAACTGGGACCAGGGATAGCCATGCAGACCTTGTTACACAGGGGAGTGATCTGTCATTTTTTAAAATATATTCACCATGCTCTGACTGTTATTTTGAACAGTTTAGAATTCACCCAATGAAAATTTTCACACTGAAATACCATTTCTTTTATCCTCATGTTTTTATTATTAACATTAAGATATTTCCTTGATAGTGACTTAACATAGCCTCCTGCCACTTTATACAAACCACAGAAATTGTCACAGATAATAGTTACTAGTATATGAGTGTATGCATGATAGTGGAGGGAAAGTTAAAACTTAGGAAGATCTTAGAGGAAAAAACTTAGAAGAGTGGGAAGAATTTAACTTTGAAGAGTGGGAAGAATTTAACTCTTAGAGCGAGATTTGAGTGTTGTTTCCATTACTTAAGGTCTCTGGCCAAATTCTTTACTTCTGTGAGCCTCAGTTAACCACCTGAACTGTAAAATGATTAGATTGAAATGGGTAAATGATTCCCTGCCTTTAAACAACAGCTGTTTTTCTCTCTAGGGACCTTGTGTTCAGAAAGATTTGGCCTACTAAATTAGCTGTTTGTATTCCTCAAAGAGACCTGTATCATGCCAATCCCTCCTTCTGCTAATTGTTAAATAACCTGCGTTATGACACTGGATTGGCACAATTCTATCAAGAAATGAAAACAACACAAAACCATTAGTTCAGTTTTGCAACTTCATTGCCAGTAAATGTATGTTTCTTATTGGGCTTTCTGAAATATTGACTGTAAGGTTCAGATTCCTGCCAGGTGTGGTGGCACATGCCTGTAGTCCCAGCTACTCCGGAGGCTGAGGCAGGAGAATCACTTGAACCAGGAGGCAGAGGGTGCAGTGAGCCGAGATCACGACACTGCACTCCATCGTCGGTGACAGAGTGAGACTCCATCTAAAAAAAAAAGGAAAAAAAAATCAGATTCCCATTTCTTTTACTGTAAATCTCAAGTTGGAATCCATTAAACTTGACCGTAAAAATGGTCCCTATAAGAAGATGAGCCAGGATTTGAGTTCTTCCTGTTCCCAACCAGCCTTTGGGAGTACCCTTCCACTGAGTGTGATTTTATGCATGTAGAGAGCTGACAAAACTGTCCCCTCCATTCCTGTGGGTGGTAAGAGTAAGAAAATACTGAGTTCTGATTTATAGTTTGACCCAACACCACAGGAAAGTAATGATTCAGAGGCAAATAAATATACACAGACAGTTTTTTTCCTTTGAGCAATCTTAAATCAGAGAGCACTGTTTTCACCTATGAAGTCAAGTAGCAATTTTGAGCAAAATCATTATCTTTCAAATAGACTTTCCTCAGCTATTTTAGTGAAGCTTATTCTATTCAGTTTACTAGCAGCCTTCTGTAGCCCTAGTCATAGGGGATAGCCTTGCTGCTGATTGTTATCTGTGTATCCCTAATAAAAACTATGAATGACCTACATTTCCTTCAACAATACAGCTACAGAATGTCTGCCACTGTTTGAAAAGAAAATCTAGAGTGCTTTTTTTAACCCTAAGGTTGTTTTCAACCTTATGCCCCAAATTTGGTCAGCCTGTAACTATTACTCAAAACAGTCTCTCCATTCTGTGTCGTAAATATTTGACCTAACTACTTCCCCGAATCTCATAGCCTAGCTTTTGTGTTTTAAAGCCTTCTCTTCTAAATGACGTTAAATACTATGACATTTTTATCTCAAAAATTCAGGAAGCTTTTTTTTAGCTTTCATAATATGGTAGCAAGGAATGAAATGTTGGCAAAGGGTGGGGGAGGGGAATTGAATGCCTGGGGAATAAAGTATATGAAACTTTCACTGGAGCAAAGTTTTTGCTTCTTAAGCTTTCATATTAGACTATACATTACATAGCTCCGCTGAAAGTTTTTACTTCTCCAGTGTATCTGAGGTTTTAGGTTTCTGGATTTATTATGGCACCCAGTAGCAAAGCTGGAGTCAAGTGTTTTCAAGGCTTCCATTAGAAATTCCTTTTTCAGAGTTTATTGCTTGACTGTTTCAAATTATATGAGAGAAACTTGGCACACAGGTTGTTGAGCTGGATTACTTTTTTTTGGACATGAAATCTAATTTATTTCAGTTTGTTCTTAATCTAGAGATGGGCCAGCAACTCTTCTCATAGTTTTATAAGATTTGATCATAATTTAAAATCATGGTTTTTTTAAAAAAAAAAAGGAAAGAGAAAAGAAACTGCATTTTCCAACTTAATCATTCCTGACTTTTTCAAAATCCTTGATGAAAATTTTGAGAAATTTATTTTTACAAAGCACTTAATTAGTATGCTTGATATCTGTTTGCAGATCATTTCACCATGTGTAATGCAGCATGTGTGATTTGGTCCATGACTGTCAGAGTTCATCCGAATGTCTGAATGTTTTTACCATGCATTATTCTTTCTGTTAGAATGTCATCATCCTGAAGATTTGGTATTCCTGTCATAGTGTGTAGAAGAGGGCAAAAAAATATTGTGTGGAGGTCACTTAAAATATTACTCATAAAATTAGCCCTAAGTCTATTCTTCAAATACCAACCTGAGGCCTTGCTCCACAAGCACAGAGGTCTAGGACTGGTCACTTAGCTAAACACCCTAGCTCCGTGTTGCCTACAACATCCTTCTCACATTTCTTGTCATCTTTTTGTGACATCTCTCTCCCTCTTTCTCTCTTACTTCCTCCCATTATTCTTGTACCATATTTCGTCTATATAAAAATGTTGAGTTGATTGTCAGGTTTGAAGTAATTTTTATTGCACATCTTCTTAAAGGCTAGACCACATTTATCACATTGCTGATTTGAACTTTTATGTTATCACTGACCTAGCACTTTTAGTTTAACAGATTATCCTCCTCTTCTCATTGTTACATGAAAAAAAAATAAAGTCATAATAATAAAGTCCCTAAAACTGATACGTAAAAGTAATTATTAAAGACTTACAAGTTTAGCATTGTCCCAGGAAAGGTGTACTCTGCAGCAAACTGACTTTTTATTTGAAGTACAACATTATTATACCACGTTGTTACTTAAGGTATTGTTTAAAGTACATTACTGCTGTTGTCTAAATACTACGTAAGTTGTATTTATACCTACCTGTTGGCCATTACCAGTTTAAAATGCCCTGTCACTGTTTTTGGCAGTATTTTGAAAAGTTTAAACTCCAAGGAGTTTAGGAAAATATTCAGGAAAGCACCCACCGATTAAACCACTGAAAGTTTTTGACATATGCTTACTGGTTTCTGCCTTACAAAAAAATTTAAAATTAAAAACTGTTATTTCTATCACCCTATGTGCCCGAATGGATTATAGAGATTTAATTGTGTTACTGTAATTAATGGTTATTATTCAAATATATCTTAATTTTCTTAAAAGTATCAACATACTGCGGCCGGGTACAGTGGCTCACACCTGTAATCCCAGCACTTTGGGAGGCCGAGGCGGGTGGATTATGAGGTCAGGAGATCGAAACCATCCTGGCTAACACAGTGAAAACCCGTCTCTACTAAAAATACAAAAAAATCAGCTGTGCATGGTGGCACGCGCCTGTAGTCCCTGCTACTCAGGAAGCTGAGGCAGGAGAATCGCTTGAAACCAGGAGGCGGAGGTTGCAGTAGCCGAGATCGCGCCACTACACTCCAGCCTGGGTGACAGAGCAAGTCTCCGTCTCAAAAAAAAATAAATAAATAAATTATCATACTTTAAAACAAAAATAAAATATCAGAGACAACTGGAAATATATGAAAAGATTTTAAATTATTTGAATCACATTCTGTCCTTACATATCAATAAATGTCATTCACTGCTGAGTGGTCAAACCAGGTAATTCTGGGGCAAATAAGTAAATTATATTTTGGCTTCTAAATATGAAAAAAAGAATATTTTCTTTAGACTTTAAGATGTATTTTTCTCTTTATATTATATATATATGTATTTTTAGTGGCTAAAGGTAATACTGAGTGAATATTAGTGAGTATATTGTTGAATATGTGCTCAGAACTACTAGATAACATGTTTTAGACATATAATTATTTTAACATTGTGTTAAGACTGTACCCTGGGCAAAATTTGGATTCATGGTTTTGTTTATCTTCTGTGTGAGGACAACTAACTGTCCAATGCCAAAATACAATGAACTTTCAAATATCAAAGAGGAAAATTAAGTATTTCAAGTCCTCAGCTGGTTTACAGATGTGTGAGCTTTGTAGTCCATTTTCTGGTTCCAGTAGGGCATTATGACAATTTTTCCAATATGTGTACACTAGATAAGTTTTAAAAGTAAAATCTCTTACTTTAAATATTGAACTCTGATTTTAAATTTTTTACATTTATTTTTCCTAAAAGTGAACTCTGAAATGAAGCTTCAAAATTAACAAAATATTTTTTAATATAAAATGTATTAAATTAAGGAACTTTTCTCTGTCAAGAAAATAAATGCCTTTTGAAAACAGGTACTCATTTAGATCTATGATTAACCTTTAACAAGATCTTCCTGTTAAATTCTACATTTGCTTTAATCTCAGTAGGAAAAATACAAAATAGTATTGTAACATATAAGGTTTCTATATACCCTGTGGACATCAAGTGATCTCTTACAGCTAAAGGCACATCTGCAACATATTTAAATGCCAGCTTTGGACATTGTTAGTATAAAATGCTAAGTCACTTTTTTTGCAAATATTTTGAAAAGTTTAAAACTCCAAGAGGAAACTCCAATAAATGGTAATCTTATGATGCCATTTGCGTCGAGAGAGTTGTAGAAAGATGAATGGCTGTATTGCATATTTTTCATTTAGGGAAAAGTAGCGTGATAGTCCTCCTTAAAATAAGTGTGAAGTTCGGTAATGGTACCATTGCTATACTAAAAACTATTGTGTTTCTGTGCCATCTTTCAGGATACTATAAAATGATTTTAAATCCATATTATCAATTGTAGAGGTGACATAGTCATGAAGTTTGGGGGCTCCCTTCAAACTTTGTGAGTTCAAGGTTATGAAAGTTCAGGAATGATTATTGGTTTGTTTTAAATAATTAATCTGTCCTGCATTTATAATAATCCAAAAACCTCATTGACTGATGTACAAGTATATAAATATTTTCTATGTAACATTAGTTGAAAAATTGTGATTCCACCATAGATTTTCTTCTAACTTGCGTTTTTTACTTCTGTCTCTCTTTTTCTTAAACACAACTCTGAAGGTCAAATATTCGGGACAATGTAGAAATGATTAAGCTTCATAAACAGCTAGTAGAGAAAAGCAATGCTCTTTCAGCAATGGAAGGAAAATTTATTCAGCTTCAAGAGGTACAGTGATAATTTATTTTATTACAATGTTACAGAGATGCAAAGGATTCAAAAGTAGTATTCAAGTTGTTTTTTTAACATGGAATTATCATAACACTAGAACATAATTTTGAAGGATTGTTCTTTGTATTCACAAATGTGTATCATTTCCCTTAATATATTGTTTATTATTTATAACTCAAGCACTAAAGAAATAATTAACTGCTTGGACTTTTTATAAATATCTGTGTCATCTTAAAATAATAACCATATTTATTATAAATTATCTTCTACCAAGGAAATTTATTTTTAACTCCTTTTATCTGAATTTATTATGGACACATAGCACTGAAGTTTTGCCATATTTGCATATATCTTCAATTTTAAGCATTTATAAAATTATTGGCAATAGACCAAAGTAATGAATAGGTCAGTAATCATGTTCTGTTAAAACTTTCTTTTATTTGAATTTTTTTTTCTTTTTTGGTCACTACCATTACCTGAAAATATTTGATTACTCTTAACGTCAACTATCAGTGTATTTATTTTAAACCTTAACCCTTCAGGTTGACAATACTTGGGATTCTTTATGCCCATGGTTGTTTTAACAAGGACTGTGACCCCACAGGAATATGCCATCTGAGGGCTTCTATTTGTTGGCACTGCATAATTAACATAGGTTCTGGAATTAATGAACTCCAAGACATTCCAGTTGAGCAGAATTTATGTGAAGTAACACTTTCTTTGAAGTCCCGAGACAAGGAGGGCAGTAGATTGATGCAAAGCAAAGGGTCATCTGAAGCCTAAATTCACTGTTGAATTCAATAGTTAAATATTTTTCAGCCATGCTCTGGGGATTTTGTTTTCCATCCTGCAGGAACCTCTTTAAATGCCAAGTGGTAATTACTTCTGCATAAATATGAGAGTTTGTAAAAGGAGACTGATGAGAGAGTGAGAATGATAGTGCTATCTACAGATGTTAGAAGAAGGAAATTTTAAAAATCCCTGTAGTTGAAAGCCATTTCTAAGATTAAGAATTAAGAAAGGAATTGAAAAATGATTTTACATTCTCTTATCACTTTGACAATTTTGATTTCTATTTAACAGTGAACCCAGGTATTAGTTTAAATACCAACAATAACAGGTGTCTGCTGTAGTACAGGCAGCTCTTTTGGAAGTTGACATAGGGTAAAAAATTGAGAGGTTAAGCCCAACAGCCTCAGTGAAGTGTGGAGCCTAGAAAAAGGTGGCTGAAGATACTGTTCTATAATAATACCAAGATAAACGAAAATTGACCTGAATGGCTCAATAGCCATGTGTCATTTAAATGAGTGAAAAAAAACTTCAGTGGGACTTGAGAGATTTAAGTTAGCAGGTGAGGCATTGCATGCTATGGTTATATGGTCTATATGAAAAGACTTTACCTTTTTTTATTTTAAAAAAAAACTATGTGACATTAAAGTATATAAAATTGAATTTACAGCATGGTCATAAATAGACCATTTTTGAAAAATTAAGAAAAGTTCATAACTTTTACTAAATTGGAAATTTTAACTTAATTGTATGCAAATTAAAAGCTGACCATCCAAGGCTGTTTATACGATGTGGCAGCGAATCCCTTCAGTTCGAATATCTGTGGTCAGCATTTTTGACCCATGCTACAGCATTTTTAGACAGCATGTCCAACCAATGTAACCACAGCAAAAAGAAAAAAAGTTATTGTTAAAATGAATTTACTTGCTGGTCACCATCAATAAGTCAAAAACTAGGAGGAAATAAAATATGTGACTCTATGCTAAGATAACCCTGTATTTTCTTCCTCATGTCACACACATGTTCAGAGCGTCTCCTACGGATAAGTAGCACGTATACATCATTTGTTATGTAAAAAATAATCTGTATAAGGTGAACTTCGGGAGTAAATTCATTTATAGAATTGTAATCATTTAGTCAAATCATTTAGTCAAATTTAATCATTTAGTCAAAAATAATGTTTGAAAGATGTTCTTTTTATCTTTTAGAAGCAAAGAACTCTCAGAATCAGCCACGATGCTTTGATGGCAAATGGGGATGAATTAAACATGCAACTTAAAGAGCAGCGTTTAAAATGCTGCAGTCTTGAGAAACAATTACATTCTATGAAGTTTTCTGAAAGAAGAATAGAAGAGGTAAGCTCCCAAAGAGTTTAGCCATCTGTTGCATTACAACTTCTTGGTAACTGTTTTGAAAAAGTAAAATAGAGATATTTCAAAATTGTACTTATTTAAAATTATAAGTTATGTACATGGTGTTTTGAGCACAGCAAAATATAGTTGTTAATATATGAATGGCAAATCAGTGTTTAACTGTACTTGCAAATGTGGCAAGATCCACTGTTTACCCAAAGGATTAAAGATCCTTGAGTAAAATGAAACCAGCATTTTGAAACTGATGCCAGATTACCTATGGAACTTAACTTTCTCAACTGTAACAGCTTATTAATCATTTGAGATACTGAAACAAAATAACAGGACTGTATCTGTTTCTGAGGAGATGGCTGTTGTATTCTGCATTATCAGTAATTTTGTGAAATTATCTAATTTTTTTAGAGAGTTCTTTGAAAACTCATCTTCCTATTATCGTAGTATTTTATGTAGCCTGTTAAGTTTGTTCCCAAGGAGAATGGAAGTGAAATAAGATGCCTGCATTCTGTTCTGATCTTGGGAGAATCTTTTACTGTCTCATACTAGCATCAAAAGAGAATTCTGAAAATGGAAATAAAGAGTAATCTGATCCACAGGAAAAAGTTGTGACTGCAAAATATACTTATGAATAAAACTTAAAAATAAATACTAGAGTACAGAAATCTACATTTTAGCCATAGGGATGTAATTATTACTCCGTTTATTTCTGAAAATACTGTTCATGGGCTAAAACAGTATGTAAGTTTGTTTATTCATTTATTCACAAAAGGTGCTAGTAGCTATTTATAAATTTCAGATAATGTGAGAAATTGTATCTTCAGAGTAAATTGTGATTAACAACACAATTTGAACCATGAACCTAAAAAAAAGTTAACTCTTTTAATTCTTTATGGGCTAATTGTAAATTAATACAAAATGAATATAATGACAGAAGTTATCATGGTGAAAAGTAAAAAATACTATGTTTCCCGGGACTTAGCAAGCTCTTAACATATTCTTTAATGACTTCTGGCACATGTTGCATAAAGCAGTGCATACGTTTCTACTAAATTAAAACAGGAATATTAATTTCACGTTTATTTAACAACTTGGGAAAAATCAATGCTGACTTAAATGCAGACAATATAAGTGGTCTGGTTAGCAGCTACCATTTAGCAATCGAGATTAAAACATGTTAACCTTCTCTCATATAGAGTTTTTTAATGTTTTTTTTTACCCCCAAGTGGTTTTATATAATATTTACTTAATATGTAATTTTATTTTCATTTTAGCTGCAGGATAGAATTAATGATTTAGAAAAGGAACGGGAACTTTTAAAGGAAAACTATGATAAACTTTATGACAGGTAAATCGTGATTCCATGTGTTCTTTCATTGTCTTGTTTGAGCTCTTTTATATGTAAGCATTTGCTGTTGTCAGAATAGATCATGTTGATCAAAGAATTAGCAACAAATGATAGCAAGAAATATGCAAACTGTATAAAGGAAATACAAGCTTTTTAAAGGCATTGTAATAAGTTATTTAACCTGAGCAGTAGCCTATCACTACTAAGAAAACCATATCACTTTGTTGCCAGTAAACTGCTATCATTTATTGAACACTAACTATAAACTAACAGACACCATGCTAGATACTCTACATTTATTGTTATAAATTGTTCACAGCACCCTGAAATGTATGTATTACAAATTCCCATTTTGCAGACAAGGAAGATGAAGCAAAATTAAGTAACATTAAGAGGCACTTCCCACCTCTTTTTTTTGAGACAGTGTCTCAGTCACCCAAGCTGGAGTGCAGTGGCACAATCATGGCTCACTGCAGCCTCAACTTCCTGGGCTCAAACAATCCTCCCACCTCAGCAGCCTGAGCAACTGGGACCACAGGCACATGCCACCATGTCAGACTAATTTTTTTAATTTTTTGGTAGTGACGAGTTCTTTCTATGTTGCTCAGGCTGATCTTGAACTCCTGGGCTCAAGTGATCCTCCTGCCTCAGCCTCCGAAAGTGCTGAGATTACAGGGGTGAGCCACTGCGCCCAGCCCATACCTTTTAAATGTATAAAGTAATAGAGCTTGTGTTTGAACCTCTTTTGGTCTCTTTCTTAGACTCCCCAGCTTATTAACTGAGAGTTATTCTGTTAGGGAAAAGCAAAGGTGTCCACTTACAATTGTCTCTGTTCCTTATAAAGAGAAACACAAGCATCTTTATCTCAAGATACATTTTAAAGGGCTGCTTCAATTTTGTTTCTTAATCTACTTCATAATTATGGTATTTTAGAAATTAATCCCTTCTGGTAGTATTAGAAACAAAATTATACCCCACATCTAAGTTTGGTTAAGTGATACAGATATCTGTGTGTGTGTGTGTCTGTGTGTGTAATTTTAAGTCTTTTTAGTATATGATACTGATAAATGATAAATACAGGTTTACATGAAAGCAAATGTAATATATACTTAAATACATATGTTATAGCTGATATTCAACAGCTACTACTTCTGGTCATGTGCTGAAACCTCAGAAAATAACCATTTGAGCTACAAGTGCATCTTTAACTTTTTAGCTCTTTGTCTTATTTTTTATAAATTAAATTTACATTTTGTAAATTAAACAAATTATACCCAAGGAGTGTGGGGATAGGCTTTTATTTTGATTTACTTCTGGAAAGTTACCTAAATTAACATAGGCATTATTTCAGTAGTTTGTATCATCTATGTTATTTACCTACTTGGGACTATCTTTGTACAGTGACTGATTATATTAAGGGTTACCAACAGTAGGTTCAGACACCAGTTAAAATCATATGTGTGTTTGAAAAGTTTAAATGTCAGTATACAAATTGCACAGTACCCTATTAGAGAAGATATCATCCCTCTTTTATAAATGAGGAAATTGGGATTCCAGAAAAATTAAGACTTGTGCAGAGTCACACAGCATTGCTGAGACTCTAGTTTAGAACTAAAACCCAGATTTTTTTAAACTCTAAAACTTGAATTCTTTTTTTGTTATGCTTCACTATCTGATTTTAATTGCATTGGAAAATTGCATATGTGGAAGGGAAACATTCATGGAATAACAGAACTGTTATACATCCAGAAATTCTTACTGATTTACATATGTCTTCAGTATCTTGTAATTTCAAATAATTTACACAGTCTAAATAGAAGAAAATAGTGCCATATGGCCATTACTTCCAAATTTTCTACTTCTCCCCAGTTTGAAAATTTGCTGAACATACTTACTTGGAATAAAAAAAATCAAACTTACCTGGGAATAATGTATAAACGAAATTTTGAGAAAGTCATGTTTTTCTCATATTTACTTTCCCACCATAAAACTTTATCTTTCCATATTAGAAGATGATCTAAGAGTATAAATTTGAAGGGTTTTTTTTTTTCAATGTTTTATGCTTGCACTAACATTTTTTTCCTGTCACACTAAAAGCAGACTTCGTTATGCTGCTCACACGTGAAGTTTATGTGAGATATATGGAAGTAAATGTGTGTAATGAGTGTCAAAACATTTAATGTCAAAAGAAAAATTAATGTAACATAAGCACAAAACCCAGCAAACACACATAATAGTCAACAGAACTACAGAATTCTCTAATATAATGTTTTTGAAATATATGATACATTTTAGAAGTATAGTTGGAGAAATTCGACAAAAGTCTACATTGTCTCTCAGATTCTTTACAGCTCTTTTGTTTCATGACACTGTTATTCGTTATTGCCAACAACTAATGTTCATCAAAAACTGCACATACTCCCTGTTTGCTTAGTCATAATGATAACATGTTTTTAAAAGGACAGCATTTGTTTGTTATTCAAAATTGACTAGTTTTCAGGAGAAAAATATGATTTGCAGTTTGCATTCTCATCTTTCTTTTTCAAATAAATTTTGAATGTGTTTATTACTTGACATATGACATATTAGAGAATCATGTGGGAAGATAAAACCCTCATGTTACTTTTTAGTATGAGCATTTTTTAATATGCTAAAACACTTTTGATACACTGCCAAGAAGTAAGTATAACTTTAATAAATGTTCAATTTAAAAGTTGAGAATACATTTTTTGCAATTATATCTTTCTGTTGGGTCAGAGAGAAACTCTATACTGTGGTATGTAATACAGTATTATATTAGTATGCTATAATTTAGTAATGCTGTGCTTCACTTTTGAAGTTAGTTAGTGTTGGGGCCATGTAACTGATAAATGCAATGGTTCCTAAACTATAATGTATGCAAATAACCTGGAAAACTTATTAAAATGTAGATTTCACCACCTCTTCAGAGCTTCTTCGCCTATCCATCTGCACCCCTCCCTCTGCCCCCATACCATCCAACTCTGATTCAGTTAATTTGAGACTGGGTCCAAAAAAATCTGTTGAATGTGATTTTGAGGTATTAACTCCTTGAGAGACACTAATGTCTGTTTTTAAAAGGTATTCATCTAGTTTTTAAGATGATATTAACCTTTTTAAGAATTGGGTGGATCAAGTTTTTATTATGTGATAGTCATCTACTTCTCAAAATGTAAAAGAGCACTACTGACACCCATAGATGCTCTGTGTTCTGTTTCTGTAAAGTGAGCATCTGTGCCCTGTAACCTTCTAGAAACCATAAAATCTCATGTGATCAAATATGAGCAGCTTATGCTTCCCAGAAATCAAACTCCAAGTACATTTGGGGCATCATCTTCTTTCAGTAAGTGAAATATCCTGATGTAAATATGAATTTAATTTTCATTAGGCCCTAAATAAAGTACCTATGATTTAAAAAAAAAAAAGGAGACAGAGAGACAGGATCTTGCTCTGTTGTCCAGGCTAGAGGGCAGTGGCGCAATCATAGCTCACTGCAATCTCGACCTCCTGGACTCAAGCAATCCTCCCACCTCAGCCTCCCAAGTAGCTAGGACTACAGGCATGTGCCACAAGACCTGTCTAATTTTTAATTTTATTATTATTTTTTAATTTTTTTTTTGAGACAGAATCTCACCCTGTCACCCAGGCTGGAGCATAGTGGCATGGTCTTGGCTCACTGCAACCCCTGCCTCCCAGGTTCAAGCGATTCTTCTGTCTCAGCCTCCTGAGTAGCTGGGATTACATGTGTTTGTCACCACACCTGCCTAATTTTTGTATTTTTAGTAGAGGTGGGGTTTCCCCATGTTAGCCAGGCTGGTCTCGAACTCCTGACCTCAAGTGATCTGCCCACCTCGGCCTCCCAAAGTGCTGGGATTACAGGCACAAGCCACCACACTGGGTCTTCAATTTTATTTTTTATAGAGATGGGATCTCTCTATGTTTCCTAGGCTGGTCTTGAACTCCTGGGCTCAAGCCATCCTCCTGCCTCAGCCTCCCAAAGCATTGGGATTACAGGCATGAGCCGCTGTACCCAGCCACTGTGGATTTCTTTATGGATGATTTAGAGTATATTCTTTCCTGTCTCTCACATTAGGATGCCCTTGAACATTGAACAAATGGAGTTTCTTCTGTAGAAGGAAAGATCTTAGGAAGCAGATGAACTCTTTGGCTTTATTTAGATCTTTATCATGTTTTTGGTCAAGGGTGTGTATTTACAGTTTGCTGACCCATGTCTGCCAGTGGACATGCCGGTGACCACAAGCAGCAATGGGCATTCCACTGCAGGCTGACATTTGATCAGTCCTGCAACATCATGTAACAGTGAAATGTGTACAAAGACTAACTATGATCCCCCTTCAGTTGTCACTATAGGCAATATACAAAAACATTTTCATGAATAAAAAGTTCTCAAAGACTGTTCTCATATGCAGATTTAATCATGTGTACAGCCCTTACAAAGAAAATGGAGCCAGATGTGGTTCACCATTTATAGTTACACAGATGGCTCTAAGCATAGCGGAATACAGTAAATTCAAAAGGAATTTCTCATGAAACTCCAGTGGAATGTAATCCTAAATTTAGAGGGAAGATAGCAGTGGACTAAATTCAGATTGACTTATGCTGATTTACACTAGTATTTTGTGGGTTTGGAAAACCCAGGCCGCTAAATTGTTCTTAATTTAAACACATACAGCTTCTGATGTTTCTGCCAGATTAGCTGTTGGTGATCTTTTTGCTGGTACTAATGCTATTGGAACACTACTGTTTCTAATTTTTGGCATCTGATATAATGTATGTTGTGCCTATTTCATCATGCTAATTTTTTTTTCCGGGTGGTACATGTTTTTAATAAAATAAGACACATGCATATACATACATACATACATATATATATATATACACACACACACACACACACACACACATAGATGTACTCACATTCATGCATATATGTGGATGTGTTTGATATATACAATTTGGCCATACATAGAAATTATATTTGTTCTTTATTTTAAAAACAAACATAAAAAGGAATATTATTTAGTATTTAAAATACATATTTTATTTGGATTTCATTAAAGTCTTGGTCATTGTACCTTTGATAAAATCAACTTAAATAATTGATATATAGATCCTATATTTTGTTAAGTTTCCATAAGTGAAATGAGAACACTAATAGAAGAAACAGATGTCATATTTAGAGAAGCTTCCATAATTCCATTTATTTTCAAGGTCATGTTATCTTAAAGGCAGTAAAATATTCAAAATGTGAAATGAATACACAATGTTTCTCTTTTGAGAAGCTATGCCTCCCAGAAAAGTATCTTTTTTGGGATAAAAACTGAAGACTAGTTGGGAGCAACATTAAGGGCAATTTCCAGTAATATGTTTCTTTTCCATTTACTTCATCATCGTATAAAACAAGATTTTATAAGTTTTTGTTGTATTTACTGGGCTTAAAATACATAGAATGGTCAAAGCTGCTGATGATTATTCAGTCATATCAAGCTTCATAGATAATGGTTTTCTGCTGAAATTCAGATCAAGATCAGTTTTTCCAAAACCTGGCTATCATCTGGGGAGCTTTCTAAAAATATGAATACCTGGGCCCTGGGATCTTCATTTTAAAATCTCCCTAAGTGTCCTTACGTAGCAGCTGGCCTACTACCAGTATTTAGGTCAGCGTTTAGGAACCACTGGCATAAACGAATGTTGATTGTACACTTTCTGTACGTTGTCTAGTTATTTTTCAACCAGTTCTTTCTTCTGATATGCTGGGTCTTGATTATTAGCAAATTTTAACCATGGTTTAAACTGCTGTACTTTTATTGAGGAATAGTAATTCTATTTTCGTCATTCTTATCAGGCACAGAGCACTGGTTTTCATTCCAATCGTGTTACATCTAAAACTGTTTTTAGCCTATTGTTTTTTGTTTTTTAACAAAAACTATATTATCACTACTTCTTAATCAATATCGGAGGTATTGTCTGGTGGTTCAATATGCTATCATTTTGTGGCCAATATTTTGTGAACGTGTTATTATCACAGACTCTTTAAAAGTTTCACAGAATTAAAGATCAGGTGGAAAGTCCATTTTCTCTGTATTAAGAGGTTTGTATGTGGGAGAGAATGGTTTTGTCCGATGTCAATTGCTGAGTTTTGGAATTGTGGATTCCTCTGGAGTATGTACAGTATCTGAATTCCTTTACTAGTCCCACAAAAGCTGCATACTGCCAACTTTTCTGACTTTAGAGCTCTAAATTAAGGCCAGTTCCTTTGCTCATCCCACAAACTCTTTCATGTTCCCTAACCGCAGCCTGAGAAAGGCGCCTTGGTTTCAACAGCAGCAGACCAGCATATGTTTACTTAATTCCTAAGACATGATGACAGTGGTCTCTGCGCCACTAAAAGCTTTTCTCTTTATTATTTTCGGTTGAAGCTGATTTCCAAGCTTTCCTTGCATGTCACGTGTGTTTTGCAGTGCCTTCAGTGCTGCCCATGAAGAGCAATGGAAGTTAAAGGAGCAACAGCTGAAAGTGCAGATTGCTCAGCTCGAGACTGCCTTGAAGTCTGACTTAACAGACAAAACTGAAATCCTTGACAGATTAAAAACTGAAAGAGGTACATTTGAAATAACCACTGCCTTACTCATTTCAGACATCTAATGTTTCTTCATTGAATCAGTCAGTACTTACTCTGGTGCCTACTGTTTGCCAGTATCCCCGCAATGTATGAGGGACAGACACAGTCATCCACTCTCATGAATTCAGTGGTTGCTCAAAATTTCTCATACTCAGCTTAGTGTATATGCCAAAAGAATTGCTTTTTCTCATAGCTATTCTTATTTAGGTTGTTTTTAATTGTTCAATTTTCCTAAATTCTGAGCCTTTCTTTACTCAACAGTTGAGAAGTATTTATTGAGCACCAGTTAGTGCTAGGTACTGTTCTAATTTCTGGGGATACAGCAATGAATAGAAACAAAAGTCTTTCCCTCATGAAATATGAATTTAATAGGGAGAAACTAACAACAATTAAATAAATATGTAATACGTGAGGTGGTGGCAAGTGTAATGGCACAAAAACTAGTGTAAGATGACAGAGAGTGGCAGAAATAGTAGCTTGCCGTTTTTGAGAGTTCGAATAGGGAAAATCTCTGATGAGATGTCTAATTCTACTTTGTGACAGTGACCTTAAATACCAGAAAGTTTTGTGCCCCATGCTAAAATAATAATCACTAATAAGTTTCAGTATAAGTAACAGATCTCATAGAAGTAAAAGAATTATAATTAAAGAAGTCTGAATTTTACTGTGTTACACACACATAGATATACACACAAATGCACAATAGGGGAAATGAATTATTTGCTTTAAGTGTTGTTATATCTGTTTGCTCATGCCCTAGATAAACCGAGTCATGTGCTAAGAAGGTTGCTGCTTTTGAAAACTTGCAATTCAGTTGCATGAGAATGTTTAAAAGTTTAATACATACTCACTAAAAAACAGTTACGTTTCTAGTTAGTATTCTTATGTTTTTATTTAGACCACAATGCCATATTTCACTGACTATAAGGAACATTATCTTTTCATATTTTAACATCTCTAATATTGAGTTGCATCTTATAAGTGATGGCATTTTTAAATTTCAGTGTGACCTTTTTTTCACATTTTAGCAAGTCTGAAATTGGAACACATAATCAATGGAGTCTTAATTTCAATGAAACACACTAGGGCAATGTTTATTCACCAAGTGACTACATTTGATGATAGATTTTTTTTATGACTTTTTCTTTAGAAGACTGTGAGTGGAATAAAATGGTGATGACAGGTTTTCTGACCTGGTGGATTTTTTTAAGTTTTCATGTCAGAAATACATACAGTTCCTGATTTTAACGTGCAGTATCAAATACCTAACAGAGTGCTTTGCCTTAGTAATTGCTCAATAAATTATTGTTTAGGTAAAAATGTGGAAGTGCTCTATATTCCCTCTCTCTTTTCCAAGAGCAGATAAATTGCCCATTCTTAAACGGAAAGGAAATGAAATAAACCATTTTTATTTCTGTGCTTTCTGTGTTTACTTAGATATCAAGAATCCTAAAGCTGTTATCTTTTGGATATCTGAACTGATCTTTGCAAAGAAGCTTTTCTTAAGGGGGGTAAAATCTTGGTTTTTTTGTTAGACCTGTTTATTGTCGTTGAATTAATTCTGAGGGTTCTTACTAAGTATTACAGTTCTTATTTTAATTTATCTAATTTATTCCTCATCTTTTTTAGTGGCTTTTTTATCATTTGGGAATTTTTTTTAATAATAAACATAACTCATGTACATTATGAAAAAGTCCAGTATGTAAATTAGAAAAATCAATCCCACAACCCACAAAATATTAGCAAAATAATCACTGCTAATATTTGATTTATGTCCTTTCAGAGTTATTTCTAAATGATAGATGTAGTTTTACAATGTGCTTTTTTTGCTATATTGTAAAATCATTCCTTAATATAAATCTACATCACAATCATTTATAATGGCTGTTACAGTTTTCCAGTGTGTGTATGTACCATGGATTATTTAACAATCTTCTATTGAATATTTAAATAGCTTCAGTTTAAGTATCATAAAACAGTATCTTTCCACACAAATTTTTACACATTTATCCGATTATTTTCTAAAGAAAAATTGCTAGAACTGAATCCTTACTTTTAATGCAACTATTACTTTCCAGTTATTTTTGTTTGAATACCTCAGATTTGCAAGTCTAAGGATTTAAGTTTTCGTTTCTTTGTGGGAATGTTACAATGGGTTATAAGAAAAATATTACAGCCTTTAACCATTTCTTCCAAGGAAATAATACACAAAAAAACCGAAACTGTCTATTTAAGAAAATCTTTTAATATTTAGAAAGCTCCATTTTGTATTACAGATTTTGAAACTGTTTAATTTTACTTTGAAGTGTCTTCATACATTTACCTTCTCATGTATCAAGTGTTCTTTGCCAGAAGATGTTTCCCTGGCTTCTTGTAGTCATTCATCTAACTGGCAAATTATTTTTAAAGAATACTCACCTCTTTATTCAAGGTACAAATTAGTTTCAGATTGTGTGAATATGTGGGGGAAGGATATGTAAATGCAGTTTGCATTTGGTTAATGCTTAAATTAACTGCATGTGTTTAAGGGCTTGCTTTTGAAAGTTCCTTTCTATCTTTAGCTGAAATGCATAATTCAGCATAATGCATATGGTTATATTGATCACAGCTGAAGATATTAGCACAAAGGCGCTCTGAAAATTGTTTAGTTGAATTGTTCTCTGCAGTCTGCTTATTAATGGTGTGCTGGAAGAACATAATTTTAAAAGAGTGAAATGTTATCTCATTTGAATAAAATGCTGTTTAGCTTGACCTGCTTTTTGTCAAATCATAAGGTAAGGAGGTTATTTTTCATCTTGTACAGAGTGCTTTGATTTTGCCTATTATAATTCAGCAAGTATATTTCCTCTTTGAACTATAGCATTTCAGTACTTTTTAAAGACCCAGGAGTTATGTCCCAAATAAACAGTTTGAGAAAGGAAAAATGTAGTGGATAATTCTAAATAAAATTCAGTAGAAGGTAAGTTACAGGTACTCAGTAATGTCTTCTCACACTAAGTTATTTTTCCACTAATAATGCCCTTGTTTAAAAAATATCAGTGAATGGAGATATCGTTGTTGAAACAACAGTTAGGAAAGGCTGGAAACATTTAAATAAATAAGTTTATTTCTACCTAATAACATATAGGAACCCTGCTCTGAAAAATTGAAAGAAAAGGAAAACCAGAACATAGAAATGATAATCAAAATACAGTGTGTCTGGATAAAGATGGAACAGTCATGCCCTTTACACTTTAGCTCACCCTTAGAAACCCTAAAATGTTTTACTGGCCAGAGAATAAAATTATATTATCCTCAGTACCTTTGTTTTTACATACTTCGGACTATATTTGCCTTCTTTTTGTTACCTAACCATTCTATCTAGATGTTGTTTTAATTTAATCAACATACAGAGTCCCACTTACTTATTCTATTCTCTAACAAAAAAGTTTATCTCATATAAATCCATATTTATTATTCATCTGAATTTTTAGTTTAAAGACAAGTATTTAACCTATACCTTCAAAATTTTTAAGTATTGTTCACATTTGGATATTCTTTTTTTTTTTTTTTGAAATGGAGTGTCGCTCTGTTGCCCAGGCTGGAGTGCAGTGGTGCGATCTCGGCTCACCACAACCTCCGCCTCCCAGGTTCAAGCAATTCTTATCCTGTCTCAGCCTCCTGAGTAGCTGGGACTACAGGCATGCACCACCATGCCCAGCTAATTCTTGTATTTTTAGTAGAGATGGGGTTTCACCATGTTGACTAGGCTGGTCTTGAACTCCTGACCTCATAATCCACCCACCTCTGCCTCCCAAAGTGCTGGGATTACAGGCGTGAGCCATCGTGCCCGGCCTGGATATTCTTTTCTTTAGTAAACTAGATATAAGCAATTTATACTCTAGGATAACCTTGTAACCTTCTATCAATAAGACAAAAGTGTTTATACAGTATATTTGATTTTTTTTTTTTTTTTTTAGATGTAGTCTCACTCTATTGCCCAGGCTGGAGTGCAGTGGCGCAATCTCGGCTCACAGCAACCTCTGCCTCCTGGGTTCAAGCAATTCTCCTGCCTCAGCCTCCTGAGTAGCTGGGATTACAGGCACGTGCCACCATGCCCAGCTAATTTTTGTATTTTTAGTAGAGACGGGGTTCACCATGTTGGTCAGGCTGGTCTCGAACTCCTGACCTCGCGATCCACCTGCCTCAGCCTCCCAAAGTGCTGGGATTACAGGCATGAGCCACTGCGCCAGCCTTGATGTAAAATGTCTCTGTATTGCCTAGGATCACAGGTTTTTTTTTTTTATTTTTTTATTTTTTTACTTTTTAGACTGCCAAGAATTATATGACATTAAAAACATCCAAATTTATTCCTAACTGTGTAATTTAACATTTTTATTTATATGTAGTATTTATAGCTTGAGAACACAATGCCTTATAAAAGTCAGAAACATATTTTTGTTTAAAATGCAGTCAGTATGCAAATGCCTTTGTGCAAAGAATTCTTGGCAAATGTGTTCATTTTTTTAAGAAAAGGAAACAAAAATGTACAACATAAATTGAAGACTTATGATAAACATAAATGGTTGAGAGCAGGATGAAATTGGTAGAGATACTTTAGATGACATGGCTTAGAGTTAGTCCACAGGGAGTCAACAAAGGAGGATACCTGAGTGTGACAGTGAGCTCTAGCAAAGAGTACACTTAAGTACGTGAGATTATCAAATACTGTGGATTTGTTCGCTAGCTATTATGCTTTTTTTAAAAAAAGCTAAACATGTTTAATGCAGGGAGTGAAAAATTAGTCTCTTTATGAATTTGCTATCTTCTAAATTCTACTCTACCCTCCTGCTTGTGGGTCATAGCAACTGAGTACCTAGACAAGCATAACCATTATTCCATTTCTTAGCACTAGCTCCAAGTCCATTCCGACTGATTAGTAGCATGAACTCAGTGAATAAAGAACACATATGAATTTATTTATTTTGGGGGGACAGAGTCTTGCTCTGTCGCCCAGGCTGGAATGCAGTGGCACAATCATGGCTCACTGCAGCCTCAACTCCCCAGGCTCAACAGATCCTCCCACCTCAGCCTCCCAAGTAGATGGGACTACAAGCATGCCCAGCTAATTTTGTTTTAATTTTTTTTTTAAGAGATGAGATCTCCCTGTGTTGCCCAGGCTGATCTCAAAACTCCTGGACTTAAGGGATCCTCCTGCCTCAGCCTCCCAAAGTGCTGAGATTATAGGCATAAGCCACGATGCCCAACCCATATGAATTATTATTGATACCACCATGCATGGCTTAAGAATCCAGTCCTCCTAATGTAATAGACCTGTTGGAAGTATGGTTGACTAAATACAGATTCAGAATTTCCTTACTTTTTAATTTTTTTATTATGGATTTAGAGGGTACAAGTGCACATGGGTATATTAGGTAGTGATGAAGTCTGGCCTTTCAGTGTAACCATCACTCGAATAATGTACATTATACCCAACAGGTAATTTCTCATCCCTCACCCCCCTACCATGTTCTGGAAATTACCTTGTTTTAATAAAAATACTATATGCTAAGTTGGGAAAATAAAATTCAAAGATGTCAATTAAAAAACTAAAAGACAATTTTTTTTCCACATGCTTTTCAGGAGCCTTAATAAGTAAGTAAAAAATCACAGATTTTGAAACACATTTTCTCAGGTATTTTAAATAGAACATTCCTTTGAAGTCCCAGAGGCCACAATTTCCTTATATTAATACTGTGAACTTATGTCTTGGGTTTTTGATGAGCAAGTGAATCATATGGTAGACACATGATAGTGTTCATTTATTCCTCATTCCCCTGCTGTCTTTGTCGAGGTGCTAGCTCAGTTTCCTTTCTGACCAGAACAATACTAGATCAAGACTGGTGTGGAACAGGAATTAAAGTAATTTGAAATGTGTCCTTAAACCTGATTTTTACTTACCTTTCCAATTGTGTGGACTTTATTTTTAAGATCAAAATGAAAAACTCGTTCAAGAGAATAGAGAACTACAGTTACAGTATCTGGAACAAAAGCAACAACTTGATGAACTTAAAAAACGCATAAAATTGTACAACCAGGTGAATTATTTCCTTATTTAAGAAATAAAACTCAGAATTTTTATCTCAATATTTTATGCATAGAGAAAGCACTATACTACAAAGCGAAAGCATACAGATATATTAATTACTCAGTTTATTAACTCATGCTATCAGGTAGTTTATGTTCCATAGGGACATTTTGAAGCACTGGAATGTCTTGTAGACTTAGTTTGTTAGTTCATGGCATCAGTCAGTTTATGTTTCATGGGGATAATTTGAATACTTGGAATGTCTCTTGTATTTTCCATTCATAACTCATTGTGAGCTTTTACTTAATCTATTGCAGGAGAATGATATTAATGCTGATGAATTGAGTGAAGCTCTCCTACTTATAAAGGTAAGGTTCTGAACTTCATCGTGATTTTCATGTCTGCATACAACTGTTTCAGCATAATGATGACCCTTATCTGTAACCCTTACATTTGGAGAATGAATTATTCTTGCATCTTCTGAAACTTAGTACATCCTTTACAAATATGTATGTAACATGTCAACACTACTAAGACTCAGGAAAGTGATCAGGTGACATTTAGTTATAGCATATACATATTTCATAATGACATCAAAGTTACATTAAACCAGACCTCAAAAACTCTCATTTAAAGCACTTTCTTTAATTATAACAAACGTTTTACTTTTATCTGCTTCACTATTTAACTCATCGATTTTCTGCCCTAAGAGACCTTGATGCACACCCTAAGTAAAATATTGAATTATAAATATCTCAAGAAGATAATTTTTAATTCTAGAATATTCTGTTATTTATAAGACACAAAAAAACACTTCTTTTACATCACAGCATAGATTTTAATCAAATGAAATAAAAATAAATGTACATGATTCTTTTATATGTCATAAAGTAACTATTTTTTGATTTCTCTATAACTGTTCCAATTGTCTATCCAAATATTCAAATTTGATTAACAGGTAAATTTCATTTTTTCCATCAGGAATGAAGCAGTCCTGATATATATATCAGGACTTCCTTTGTCTGTTTTCAATTAATGAAATTGAAAATTGATCAATCAATGAATTATTTATTGATACATCTATATTAATTCATAAAATCACATCTTAGAAATTTTTGTTTCAGTCATAAAACATGTTTTTTATTTTAGGCTCAAAAAGAACAAAAAAATGGAGACCTTTCCTTTTTAGTGAAAGTAGATAGTGAAATTAATAAAGATCTAGAACGCTCTATGAGAGAGCTGCAAGCAACTCATGCAGAAACGGTGCAAGAGCTGGAAAAGACAAGAAACATGCTAATTATGCAACACAAAATTAATAAAGATTATCAGGTAATGTAATACACTAAATGGGGAAAGTAAGTTTTCTATAATATTCTGATGATTTATTTTCTAAATACTGTATGTTATCACCTGTTATCTATTAACATCTATTGTAATCTACTAACATATCACATCTCTGGAATGTAGCCTTATAACTAGGTACTTAGTTAGAATAAATAGTTTTAAAACAAATAATGTGGGGTTTTTTTGGTTTTTTTTTTGAGACAGAGTTTTGCTGTTGTCACCCAGGCTGGAATCCAGTGGCGCAATCGTGGCTCACTGCAACCTCCGCCTCCCAGGTTCAAGTGATTCTCTTGCCTCAGCCTCCCAAGTAGCTGAGATTACAGGTGCCGCCACCATGCCCAGCTAATTTTTATATTTTTAGTAGAGATGGGGATTCACCATGTTAGCCAGACTGGTCTCTAACTCTGACCTCAAGTGATCCACCCACCTCGGCCTCCCAAAGTGCTGGGATTACAGGCCTGAGCCACCATGCCCTGCCACAAATAATGTTTTTAAAGTCCCTGATTTTAGGGAATGAGTAGTGGCAATGAAATCACCTTTGTTAGCTTTAGCACATTCTGCGAGTGAGTTATAGTTATCCTGAAGTCATGCCATAACTGTATTGTCTTAGCTTTTAACAAAATGAAAACACATCTCCATAAAAGGGAATCTGGAGTTTTATCTTTCTTCTGATTTGTGAATATTGCCAAGCATAATTTTCTAAAGTGTAAGCTACTTGAGGTCAGGAAACCATGGTTCATAGCTCCTACTATTTCCAGGATCTAGAAAATGCTTGAATCATAGTTGCTTTGAATAATGAAAATAGAACTAATCATAAGTATTAAAACTTATTTTCCCTTATTTTGTAGATGGAGGTTGAGGCAGTGACCCGTAAGATGGAAAATTTGCAGCAAGATTATGAACTCAAAGTGGAACAGTATGTTCATCTTCTTGATATCAGGGCTGCACGTATCCATAAACTAGAAGGTACAACATATACGATTTTTTGGTCCACAGTAACTAGAGGAATGGATTTTATAACAGTTGATAATGTCATCCAAATCTGCACTTACAGTGTATTTTTGCTGTGTTTACGCCTAATTCATAGCTAGCTCATGAATGCAGCTTTGACCTCCTGGGTTCCAGCAGTATTCCTAATTTTTAATTTTTTTGTAGAGCCTATGTTGCCCAGGCTCATCTCAAACTCCTGGGCTCAAATCGTCCTCCCGCCTCGGCCTCTCAAAGTATTGGGATTACAGGCGTGAGACACTGCACCAAGCCTTGATTCTTTTCTACTCAAGAATTTTTAGTAATTCCCTACTGCTTTTTAAATTCAGTGTTGCAAGCAAGATTTCAAATTACTTCATAAATTACTACAAACTCAAATTTACTACCACTTTTTAATTTCTCTTCTAAGCAACCTGTGCACCTCAGCCAAACAGGTCCTCCACCTGCTCTTTGCAGATATGTCATGCTCAGGCCCACTGCCATGCCTTTGTTCTTGCTGTTTGCTCTGCCTAAACCTCCTTTCTACCATGATTCCAAGATACACGCTTCCCTGCTTTGAAACCTAACATAATACTCACCTGTGCTAGGAAGCTGGTTCTAATTATTCCTAGCGATCCCTCTACTTGAAATGTCCTTACAGTGATTTTTAGACTTTAGCAAGTAGGAAAATCACTTGAGGAACTCGTTTAAAATGTAGTTTCCTGGGCCCTACCCCTAGAGGTTCTGGGGCCCATGCTTTTTTATATTGTATTTAGAAATAACTGCAAGCTATTCAGATGGAGGTGCAAGACTACATGTTGAAAAAAACTAGCTCAGCACTTACCAACCCAGTTTTCTTCTCATGCACTCAGAAGCTGTAAGTTTGGGGAGCATATAAGTGTTCTTCAGCTGTTGGAGTTTTGCATATTCTCCATAACCAAAATGTAAGTTCTACAGTGATAAGTTCTTTGTCTCTCTTTCACGTCCACGTCCACTACGTACCATATTTACTTCAGTGGTCTATGCCAGCAGTAATTTTACACTCTTAAAACTTATTGAGGTTCGAGAAGGCCTTTATTCATGAGTTATACTTAATTGATATTTATCATAACAAAAGTGAAAAAAATGTTTAAATATTTTTAATTTGTTAAAATAATAATAAACTTATTGCGTGTTAACATAAATTAAAGTACCTTTTTTAAGTTATATTTTCCAAAACAAAAAAATACTTCAAGAAGAGGGACATTGTTTAAAATTTTTTAAATTTTTAACATTTCGCAAATCTTCTTAGAGACTGGCTTAATAGAAAACAGCTGGATTTTTATATCTGCTTCTGCATTTAATCTGTTGTGATATCACACATCATGTAACCTCCAAGAAACTCCATTATACACTTGTGAGAGGATAAAAATGAAAAGGGCAGATTACACTTTACCATTATTATAAAAATAGTTGTGACCTCACAGATCCCCAAAATGGTTTCAGAGACCATCAGGGGTTTCCAAACCACACTTTCAGAAACTCTGATCTGGGCAGAAGAGCTCAATAAATATCTTTATCTGACGAAGCAGGGTTTTCCAAAAGTCAAGGAGCAATGTGTACCTTTTATTCCAAGTAGTACTCAATAAAAATTTGTTTAATGGAATTTTCTTGGTTAAAAGGGAGGTCACAGTGTTTGGGATTTTCATTCCTTTCAAGTTTTACTAAATTTTAACCATCATATTTTATCTGTCCCCTCAATTCATTGATTGACTCCATAAACATGATCAAGCCCCTAATGCATCCTAAGCAAAGTGCTGGGCAGGGAGAATACAAATAGGAAAAACTGAGGCACTACCCTCATGGAACTCCTAAGATGTTGACAAGTAAATAAATGGTTATGTTTTACTATGAAGAGTGTAAAGCTAAGAAAATCTAAAGGTATCAAGGAAACATTGAGGAGAGAATGCCTATTTCTACCTCAAGATTCAGGCAAGACTTCACACAGTAGGTATGGAGTCTTTAAAGATGACAGAATTCACTACTAAGTAAAAGTAATATAAGGCATTCCAGGCAGTAAGTAAAGCAGGGAAAGATGCCCTAAATATGACGTATTGCAGTACATTTGAGAAACTGCACTGTAGATCCATCCAACTGGAATTCAGGAAAGTCAAAAAAAGGAGGAGAACCTGGAGAGAAAGCTATAAGGAACAAAATTGTGAAGGCCCTGTTTTCACCCTGATTGATGAGGTAGAAGCTTATTAACCTGAAGAGCCAAGGCGGATGGATTACTTGAGGCTAGGAGTTCAAGACCAGCATGGCCAACATGGCAAAACCCCATCTACTAAAAATATTTTAAAAATTAGCCGAGTGTGGTGGCAGGTGCCTGTAATCCCAGCTACTCGGGAGGCTGAGTCAGGAGAATCGTTTGAACCTGGGAAGCAGAGGTTGCAGTGAGCCGAGATTCCGCCACTGCACTCCAGCCTGGGTGACAGAGTGAGAATCTGTCTCAAAACATACAAAAAAACAAGACAGTATGATACATTCTGTTTTGAATATGTTGTGTGGGATATCTAGATACATAGAGGGTTAAACAAAACTTTAGAAATATAGGAATGGAGTTGAGAAGATAAATATGAATTTAAAATAGTAATATGGAAGCCTTTAGCATATTAATAATGACAAAAGTCATAAAAGTTGATGAGATCACTCATGAGAATATGTAGACTAAGAAAATAATTAAAAACAGAAGCCCAGAAAACTAGCAGACGAAGAGAAATCCCAAAAGAATGAGAAGAAGGATAGGAGGAGAAGCAGAGAAGATGATGACATACATGGAAGTCCAGGTTAGACAGAGTTCACTAATGGGAGATTGTCATCAGTGTCAAATGTAGTAAAGAAATCAAGTAATACAAGGACCAGCGTTCATTGCGTCTAGCAATTAATTGATTATTGTTGGCTTTTTCTGGAGCAGTTTCACAGAAAAGCAAGGCAGATATTCACGTTGGTGATATTTGGTTGGCCTCTGTATATAACGGTGAAACCATCATCATGATCAGGATAATAAACTTATCCATCACCCC